>NC_000014.9:74308682-74460197 GCF_000001405.40 Homo sapiens
TTTTGTTATTTTTAGTAGAGATGGGGTTTTGCCATGTTGGCCAAGCTACTCTCGAACTCCTAACCTCAAGTGATCTGCTGGCCTTGGCCTCCCAAAGTGCTGAGATTACAGGCGCGAGCCACTGCACCCTGCTCTTCAAGGCTTCTTATGCCCTGGCCTTGCCTATTGCTCCAACTTCTGTTTGTTTTTTTTTTTTTTTTGAGACAGTCTTGCTCTGTTGCCCAGGATGGAATGCAGTGGTATGATCTCAGGTCACAGCAACCTCTGCCTCCCAGGTTAAAGTGATTCTTGTGCCTCATCCTCTCGAGTAGCTGGGATTACAGGCTTATGCCACCATGCCCAGCTAATTTCTGTTTGAACCTCTTTAGGGGCTAGAAAACAAACCTTGTTTTCCTCTACTCTTCCGGTGATTTTTATTCTTCCTTCCATCCCCGCTGTGAATGTCCCTTCCCCAGAGAGTCTTTTCCTAACCACCCTTTATTGTTTCCTTCCACAGCACCCCACTTTTTCCTGCTTCTAGCATTTATTGCAGCTGGTTATATTTTCATTTTGTGCGTTTACTTCATTCATGCCTCTCTCGCTCCACCCCAAGAGGACAGGGACCATGTCTGTTGTGTTCACACTACTGTGTCCCCATTTTCCAGAAGCACTCGTAAGAGCACAGTAGCTATTTGTTTAACAAATATTTGCAAAATCTTCTAACTGGGTTTATACACTTGAATTTCCCCCGGCTCTAATCCAGTTTTTACAAAGCAGCCAGAGAAATGTGCACAAATGTAAACCAAATCAACAGCCCACTTAAAGCTCTTAAGTGATTCTTGTGCTGTTTGTTGAACAAAGATAAACAAGACAATCCCTAACCTCAAAAAACACACAGTGAGGCTAGGGCTCACTGCAGCCTCAACAACGGAGGCTAAGGCAGGAGGATTGCTTGAGCCCAGGAGTTAGAGGCTGCACTGAGCTATGATCATACCACTGCACTCCAGCCTGGGCAACACAGCGAGACCTCGTTTCTAAAAGTAAATAAATAAAATTTTAAAAAACCCACAGGTCACTGTCTCTGCTTATACTGTTTTCTAATGGGACCAAACTTCCCTTATTTCAGCTCCTAGAGTCCTGTGCTACTTCCTCACTCTTATACATAGATAAAGGGAAGACAAATTGATGTTTTTTTTAAAAAAGGAAAATAATTTGGTAATAACTGTCAAATTTTAGATGATGCCGTAGTTTCATTTCCAGGAATTCTCTTATAAATATATTTACCCAAAAGCACAAAGGACAAAGGGTCAATCACAAGGATGTTTCTACAGCATAGAAGGTAATAGCAAAATCCTAGAAGCAACCAGAATGCTTATCAAAGGAGGAGCAGTTAAACAAAATATGACACCCTCACTGTGTAGAATATATTTTGCAGCTATTAATAAGAAGGAGATGGCCGGGTGCCATGGCTCACGCCTGTAATCCCAGCACTTTTGGAGGCTGAGGCGGGTGGATCACCTGAGGTTGGGAGTTCGAGACCAGCCTGACCAACATGGAGAAACCCCGTCTCTACTAAAAATACAAAATTAGCCAGGCGTGGTGGCACATTCCTGTAGTCCCAGCTACTCGGGAGACTGAGGCAGGAGACTCACTTGAACGTGGGAGGCAGAGGTTGCAGTGAGCCGAGATCGCGCCATTGCACTCCAGCCTGGGCAACAAACGCAAAACTCTGTCTCAAAAAAAAAAAAAAAAAAAGGAGAAGTAGCATTGCCATAGTGATTCAGAACATGGACCTCAGAGCCGGATTGCATGGGTTCAAATCCCCACTCTATCACTTGGTATTTGTGTGACCTTGGGGGCATGCTGCCTCTGTTTTTTTTTTTTTTTTTTTTTAAACACAGAGTCTTGCTCTGTCACCCAGGCTGGAGTGCAGTGGCACAATCCCGGCTCACTGCAGCCTCCGCCTCCTGGGTTCAAGTGATTCTCCTGCCTCAGCCTCCCAAGTAGCTGGGACCACAGGCATGTGCCACCATGCCTGGCTAAATTTTGTATTTTTAGTAGAGATGGGGTTTCACCATCTTGGCCAGTCTGGTCTCAAACTCCTGACCTGAAGTGATCCGCCCACCTTGGCCTCCCGAAGTGGTGGGATTACAGGCATGAGCCACTGCACCCGGTGAGGTTTTTAAATTTTTCTTTAAAAAAAATTTGGGGGGGTAAAGACAGGGCCTCACTATGTTGCCTAGGCTGTCGAACTCCTGGCCTCAAGCGTTCCTCCTGCCTTGACCTCCAAAAGTGGTGGGATTACAGGCATGAGCCACTGCACCTAGCCTCAGTTTTTTAAAATCTGTAAATGAGGGTAATAATAGTTTCCACATCAGAGGGTTGTTTCGAGGAATAAACAAGTTAATAGATATTAAGACTTAAACATTACCTGGCAATAATAAGAGCTGAATGTGACATTAATATTAAACATTGAACAATGTCCATGCCCTATTGTTTCATTTAATCAACTAGTTTTTTAATTGAAAAATTGAAAAGCATGTGGTTAAAAAAAATTTTGCAAAAGATGATAGGGCATATAATAAAAAATAAGTTTGTCTTCCACCCCAGAGCCAAGCTGTTCACAGCTTCTTAGGAATCTTTCCCGAAATGTTTTATATATATGCAAACTTATATGTATTAATATATTTCACACATACCCACACTCAAACACAAATACTCCTTTTCCTTTTAAACACTCTGCCTTGCAGCTTGCATTTTTTTTTTTTTTTCTCTTTGAGACAGACTCTCATTCTGTTGTCCAAGCTGGAGTGCAGTGGCGTGATCTTGGCTCACTGCAACCTCTGCCTCCTGGGGTCAAGCTACTCCCTCCCAAGTAGCTGGGATTACAGGCATGCTCCACCACACCTGGCTAATTTTTGTATTTTTAGTAAAGACGGGGTTTCGCCATGTTGGCCAGGCTGGTCTTGAATTCCTGACCTCGGGTGATCTGCCTGCCTCGGCCTTCCAAAGTGCTGGGATTATAGGGGTGAGCCACCGCTCCCGGCCGCAGCTTTCTTTTTACACTTTGTAATATATCTTGGAAGTTGTTCCATATCAGCATATACAGACTTTTTTTTTTTTTGAGATGGAGTTTCGCTCTTGTCACCCAGGCTGGAGCACAGTGGTGCGATCTTGGCTCACTGTCACCTCTGCTTTCCTGGTTCAAGCAATTCTCCTGCCTCAGGCTCCTGAGTAGCTGGTATTACAGGCATCCGCCACCATGCCTGGATAATTTTTTGTATTTTTAGTAGAGACAGGGTTTCACCATGTTGGCCAGGCTGGTCTTGAACTCCTGACCTCAGGTGATCCACCTGCCTTGGCCTCCCAAAGTGCTGGGGTTACAGGCATGAGCCACCGCGCCCAGCCAGCATACACAGATTTAAGTAATTACTTTTTTCCACTGTTAAGTTTGTGACAAACCCATTGTCAAATTGTGCCATCATAAGTCAGGGACTGTCTCTACAGAGGAACTATATATCTAGTTTCCTATTGACAGACATTTTAGTGGGTTATAGTCTCTTGCTATTACATATAATGCTGCAATTAACATCTTTGGATATATCCCAAATATAGCTAAGTTTAAAAGAAGATAGGCTCCATATTTTGTTTTTTAAAAGCATGTTTGTGTGTGCATAACTGTGCACCCACTGAAGTTGATTGCAATCTGTAGGAATTCAGAATGCAAGGATTGGAGAGAGCAAAAGGCAGTTTGACTAAAGAGCCCATATGCTTAAGTGTTTTGTTTTTTAATCTCTCTTTTTTTTCAAGAGAAAGTCTCACTCTGTAGTCCAGGCTGGAGTGCAGTGATGTAGTTTTGGTTCACTGCAGCCTCGACCTCCCAGGCTCGAGTGATCCTTCCACCTCAGCCTCCCGAGTAGCTGGGACTACAGGCACATGCCACCACACCCAGCTGATTTTTGTATTTTTTGTAGAGACGGGGTTTCACCATGTTGCCCAGGCTGGTCTCAAACTCCTGGGCTGAAGTGATCTGCCTTCTTCACTCTCCCTAAGCGCTGGGGTTACAAGCACGCACCACCGCACCTGGCCTGTGTTTTTTTTTTTTTTTTTGAGGCAGAGTCTCGCTCTGGCGCCCAGGCTGGAGTACAGTGGCTCACTGCAACCTTCGCCTCCCAGGTTCAAGTTATTCTCCTGTCTCAGCCTCCTGAGTAGCTGGGATTACAGGCTCACTCCACCACGCCTGGCTAAGTTTTATATTTTTAGTAGGGACAGGGTTCCACCATGTTGGTCAGGCTGGTCTCGAACTCCTGACCTCATGATCCACCTGCCTCGGCCTCCCAAAGTGCTGGGATTACAGGCATGCGCGCTGCGCCTGGCCTGTGTTTTGTTTTTTAAAATGTTACCTATACAATAAATTTTTTTCAGAGATTATACCCTAAAAGAGAAGCAATCATTTTATCTTCTGGTCCTCCAAGCTCTTGGTTCACACCTCAGTTATAGACAGAGTTGGACCTGTCTGTTTCCCTTGCTAGCCAAGGAGCTTGCCTAGTCAACCTCCAATACCCAGCCCAGCGCCTGGCACATAGAAGGTGTTCACTAAACACTTCTGTGATGAATGAAGCTACTCCTCTGACCTAGGTTTCCCTGTATATAAAATTAGAATGATAAAGCGACTCACATCTAATGGCCATCCTAAGAAATTCCTGAGCAAAAAAAAAGAAATTCCTGAGCAATGTGAAAGTTCTTAAAAAAAATGAAAGTTTGTTAAAATACTCAAGAATAGCTGCTTAATCTAAAATTTATCCTGTGGGCTGACCAGGTCAAAATGTCTGCAGTGTAGCTGGTTCAAAGGACGGTGACATCTTCCCCAAGTGAGAACAGCCTATTAAATTTGTGAGCAGGAGGGACAGAGTTGTCAGCTGAGCAGAGCCCTGCTGTCACGTCCTCTAGATCTGAAACCATCTTGGCCTCTTTCCACCCTGGAATCATTTTGGAAAGATTAAGGCCCCTGCAAGTCTGTTAAAAAGTTGGAGCCTTGGCTGGGCGTGGTGGCTCATACCTGTAATTCCAGCACTTTGGTAAGCTGAGACAGGAAGATTGCTTGAGCTCAGGAGTTGGAGACCAGCCTAGGCAACATGGCAAGACCTCATTGCTACAAAACAAAAACAAAAATTAGCTGGGTGTGGTGGTGCAAGCTGTAGTCTCAGATGCTTGGGAAGCTGAGATCGTGCCACTGCACTCCAACCTGGGCAACAGAGCGAGACACTGTCTCAAAAACAAAAAACGAAAAACAGCTGGAGCCTTTATATTAGATATCACCAAAGGACTCCCCAACCATAGAGTAATCTTAGAGTATTGAAGGGGTGGAAAGGTATAATAAATCTCCTCTTTATCATAAGGGTCATGGCCACCACTCCTATAACAAAAGACTGATTAACAAGAGAAAAGCATAAGCAATTTATAACTTTCTCTTTTAATTTTTTTTTTAGAGACAAGGTCTTGCTCTGTTGTCTAGGCTGGAGTACAGTGGTGTGATCATGGCTCATTGCAGCCTTGAACTTCTGGGCTCAAGCTATCTTCCCGCCTCAGCCTTCCCAGTAGCTGGAGTTGCAGGCGCACACCACCATGTCCATCTAAAAGCATATCAGATTTATCTAATCAAAATTGTGTAATTGTATGTGACGTGGGAGCCTTCAGAAATGAGGACCAAAAGACTCAAGAAAAAAACTGTTCTTTTTTTTTTTTTTTTTTTTGAGATGAAGTCTCACACTGTGGCCCAGGCTGGAGTGCAGTGGCACAATCTCGGCTCACTGCAACCTTCACCTTCTGGGTTCAAGCAATTCTCCTGCCTCAGCCTCCTGAGTAGCTGGGACTACAGGTGCACACCACCATACCCGGCTAAATTTTTTTTTTTGTATTTTTAGTAGAGATGGGGTTTCATCGAGTTAGCCAGGATGGTCTCTATCTCCTGACCTCCATGATCCGCCTGCCTCGGCCTCCCAAAGTGCCAGGATTACAGGCATGAGCCACTGCGTCCAGCCAAAAACTGTTCATTTTTATGCTTAGATTCAGTGAAGCATGACAGCTGTGTTGAAATGTGATTAGACAGAAAGGGAATGATCTAATAGTAACAGACTGAGTGGGGAAACCCAGCAAGGCCTCTGTTCAGATTCTTCTTGGCCTGTTTGTGTGGTGTTCCTTTCTCCTGGGTTTAGGGCAGTGCCCCTTCTGAAATGAAGGTCTTATGGTCTATTTTCAGACAAGGTAGGTCAGAATTTTATGGCCAGCTCCTACACAGAAGGATGGAGGAAGGTTAAAGTCCTATTTCTAGGTTTTATGGCTGGCTTTGAAGAAGAAGGGTTCTAGTTTCTATGGCCTGCCTTGGGAGAGGAAGGGAAGCAGGAGAAAGAAGAACAGGAGAAGAGAAGAAAGAGACTTTGCTTTTGAGGTCCTTCCAATGTCTTTCAGTTCAAAGTATCAGCATGCCAAAGTGCCATACTTTGGGGTATTGTTTTCTGAGCCCCAACAGTATTAAGGAGATGGCAGTGATACTTCTTTTTTTTTGAAATTGAGACGGAGTCTCACTCTGTCGCCCAGGCTGGCTTGTAGCGGTGTGATCTTGGCTCACTGCAACCTCCACCTCCCAGATTCATGCGAGTCTTGTGCCTCAGCCTCCTGAGTAGTTGGTATAACAAGCATGAGCCACCGCAACCAGCAACAGTGATAATTCGTTCAACATTCAGTAATTATTGACCAGGCCGGGTGTGGTGGCCATGCCTATAATCCCAGTGCTTTGGGATGCCGAGGCGGGAGGACTGCTTGAGGCCAAGAGTTTGAGATCAGCCTGGGCAACATAGCATGACCCTGTCTCTACAAAACAATACAACAAAAAAGCAAACAAAAAGCATTTACTGAGTAACTACTCTGTATGTGCCAGGCATAGGTGCTGGAGATATAGCAGTTTCAAGACAAAGTATCTGCCTTCACAGACCTTAGGCAAATACAAAACAATATTAAATATAAATCAGATAGCGCTAAGAAAACTACAGTGGGTGTCACAAGTAGGGTCCACTGGATCCACACCCTGAGACAATGCTTATCATGCTCAATGACTATAGAGATTGCATATTGGTAGGGAGATGAAGGAAGCATGATTGGGCAGAGGGAGGAATCAAGCTGAGAGGTAGGCCCTACTACAGCCTCAGCCGACCCCATGGGGAGCACCAGAGTGGACATGGCCCATCTCAGTTGCTTCCTGTTGGGCCACAGTGGCCCTCCTTTCTACCCCACCCCAATCAGTCACTGGGTGTGGGATATCTTGCAAAGGGCGTAAACTCAGGCAAATTCTCTCTTGTAGCTGAGGCAATTCTCAAAGGAGCTGATAGCTGAAGGCTGTCTGCTTACGGCACTCCCAGCAGCTGGGGCAACAAGTCCTGCCTTGAAAGGGAATCTGGGCAGGGGGTCAACATGTCCATCACCCAGCATATGGGGAGAGAGGATGATGGTGGAGGTGCTTCTTGGGATAGGGTGGTCAGGGAAGGACTCTCCGAGGAGGTTTTAAAGAACCTAAATGAGGCTGGGTGTGGTGGTTTACACCTGTAATGCCAGCACTTTGGGAGGCTGAGGTGGGTGGGTCATGAGATCAGGAGTTCAAGACCAGCCTGGCCAACATGGTGAAACTCTGTCTCTACTAAAAATATAAAAATTAGCCAGGTGTGTCGCACGCCTCTAGTCCCAGCTACTTGGGAGGCTGAGGCAGGAGAATCACTTGAACCTGGGAGGCAGAGGCTGTGGTGAGCCGAGATCACGCCACTGCACTCCAGCCTGGGCAACAAAGCGAGACATCTCAAACAAACAAACAAACAAATGAACAAACAACCTGAATGAAGTGAAGGAAGGAGCCATGCAGATTCTGAGGGAAGAGCATTCTAAGCAAAGGGAACAGCAAATGCAAATGCCCAAAGGAGGGATTATTCTTTTTTTTTTTTTTTTTGAGATGGAGTCTCACTCTGTCACCCAGGCTGGAGTGCAGTGTCGTGATCTCGGCTCACTGCAATCTCCGCCTCCCGGGTTCACGCCATTCTCCTGCCTCAGCCTCCCGAGTAGCTGGGACTACAGGCGCCCGCCACCATGCCCGGCTAATTTTTTTGTATTTTTAGTAGAGACGGGGTTTCACTGTGTTAGCCAGGATGGTCTCGATTTCCTGACCTCGTGATCCGCCCGTCTCGGCCTCCCAAAGTGCTGGGATTACAGGTGTGAGTCACCGCCCGGCAAGGAGGGATTATTCTTGGGATGTTCAAGGAAGAGCAAAGAAGCCAGCATGGCCAGAGTGCAATGAACAAGGGGAGAGTGATAGGAAATGCACAAGGGCCAGGTCATGTAGAGTCTTGCACACTATCATAAAAAATTTGAATCTTTATTGTTACAGGAAGCCATTGGAGGGTTAAAAACAGAAGAGTGACAAAATTTGGTGGATGATTTAAAAGGATCACCCTGGATGCTGCTGTATGGAGAGCTAGAATGGAGTTAGGGAAATCAGATAGGAAGCTATTCTGGTATTTCAGGTGAGAGAGTCATGGTTGGGACTATAGAAAGGGACAGGTTGGTGGGGACTATAGAATGGTACAGAGCTGTAGAGAAGTGGCTCTCAACCAGGGTGACTTTGCTCTAGCTTATCTTACATACTTCTCCCCAACTCTCCCTACCAGCCAAGGACATTTGTTCAGTATCTGGATATTTTCGGTTGTCATAACTGACGGATGCTATTGTCTTCTAGTGAGTGCTGCAAAGTATCCTACAATAATGCACAGGACAACTCCCCATGACAAATAATTACTTGGTCCAAAATGTCAATAGTGAGCCAGGCACGGTGGGTCACACCTGTAATACCAGCGCTTTGGGAGGCCAAGGTGGGTGGGTCACCTGAGCTCAGGAGTTCAAGACTAGCCTGGCCAACATGGTGAAACTCCGTTTCTACTAAAAATACAAAAATTAGCTGGGTGTGGTGGCAGGTGCCTATAATACCAGCTACTTGGGAGGCTGAGGCATGAGAATCACGTGAACTTGGGAGGTGGAGGTGGCAGTGAGCAGAGTTCGTGCCACTATACTCCAGCCTGGAGGATACAGTGAGACTCTGTCTCCAAAGAAAAACAAAAAAACAAAAAAAACAAAATCTCAATGGTGGCTGGGCACAGTGATTCATGCCTGTAATCCCAGCGCTTTTGGAGGCCAACATGGGAGTATTGCTTGAAGCCAGGAGCTTTATACCAGCCTGGGCTACAAAGCAAGACCTCATCTCTTTTTTTAAATTAGTTGAGCATGGTAGCAAGCAACTGTAGTCCAGGCTATTACGGAGGCTGAGGCAAGAGGATTGCTTGAGCCCAGGAGTTCAAGGCTGCAGTGAGCTATGATTGTGCCACTGCACTCCAGCCTGGGCAGCAGGGTAAGAACCTGTCTCAAAAATAAAATTTAAAAAAAGACAATAGTACTAAGGTTGAGAGACCTTAGTCTCGGCTCACTGCCATCTCCACCTCCCAGGTTCAAGGGATTCTCCTGCCTCAGCCTCCTGAATAGCTGGGATTACAGGCATGTGCCACCACGCCTGGCTAATTTTTTTTTTTTTTCGGAGACAGAGTTTCGCTCTTTGTTGCCCAGGCTGGAGCGCAATGGCGTGATCTCGGCTCACCGCAACCTCCGCCTCCTGGATTCAAGTGATTCTCCTGCCTCAGCCTCCCGAGTAGCTGAGATTACAAGCATGCGCCACCACGCCCGGCTATTTTTGTATTTTTAGTGGAGGTGGGGGTTTCTCCATGTTGGTCAGGCTGTTCTTGAACTCCCAACCTCAGGTGATCCGCCTGCCTCGGCCTCCCAAAGCGCTGGGATTACAGGTGTGAGCCACCACGCAAGGCCCCGGCTAATTTTTGTATTTTTAGTAGAGAAGGCGTTTCACCATGCTGGCCAGGCTGGTCTCGGACTCCTGACCTCAGGTGATCCGCCCGCCTTGGCCTCCCAAAGTGCTGGGATTACAGGCGTGAGCCACCGTGTCCGGCCTTTTTTTTTTTTTTTTTTTTTAAATGGAGTCTTGCTCTGTTGCTCAGGGTGGAGTGCAATGGCCCAATCTTGGCTCACTGCAACTTCCACCTCCCAGGTTCAAGCAATTCTTGTGCCTCAGCCTCTCAAGTAGCTGGGGACTACAAGTATGTGCCACCATGCCCAGTTAATTTGTATATTTTTAGTAGAGACCGGGTTTCACCGTGTTGGTCAGGCTGGTCTTGAACTCCTGACCTCAAGTGATCGACCTGCCTCGGCCTCCCAAAGTGCTGGGATTACAGGCATGAGCCACTGTGCCTGGTCTCGGGATTTTTTTTTGTTGTTTGTTTGTTTTGAGATGGGGTCTCACTCTGTCACCCAGACTGGAGTGCAGTGGCTCGACCTTGGCTCACCACACTGAAACCTCCGCCTCCCAGGCTCAAGCGATTCTCCTGCCTTGGCCTCCAGAGTAGCTGGGATTACAGGCATGTGCCACTACTGCCTGGCTAATTTTTGTATTTTCAGTAGAGATGGGGTTTCACTATGTTGGCCAGGCTGGTATTGAGCTCCTGACCCCAAATGATCCACCCTCCTTGGCCTCCCAAAGTGCTGGGATTACAGGCATGAGCCCGGCCCGCGCCTGGCCCCCTCGGGATGTATTTTTATAGTATTTTGACAATAGAGACAATCAGATTTGGGTTTGGATGTGGTGAATGAGAGAAAAAGGAATCAAGTGTGGTTCTGCAGCTCATCCAAATGGCCCTCTGCTCTACCAACTGAGCTATCAAAGACCCCGCTTCAAGTGCAACTTTAAGGCTTTGGACTGAGCAACTGAGTGAATGATGGTACCATTTACTGGGGTTGGGAGTTATGGGGAAAGAACAGATTATGTGTGAGGAACAGGTGGTAAATCAAGAGTTTGTTTATGGACAGGTTAAATTTGAGATGCCTGTTGGACACCCAGTGGTGATGTTACATAAGCAATTGGCTGTTTGAGTCTGGAAGTTAGGGAAGATGTCTGAGCTGGAGCCATAAATGTGGAAATCATCAGAAGAAAGGTGGGGTTTTAAATGAGTAGATTGCAAGAGATCACCTAAGGGTTGACTGTAGATTGAGAAGAAAAGAGGTCAGAGGACTGTGCCTTTTGGGAGTCCAACATCTAGTAGTAAAGAGCCAGCAAAGGAGATGGAGAAGGAGCAGCCAGGGAGGTAGGAGAACTGGACAAATGTGTTGTCCTGAAAGCCAAAGAATATGAGTGCTTCAAGAAGCAAGCCCTGGCTGGGCACGGTGGCTCATGCCTGTAATCCCAGCACTTTGGGAGGTGGAGGCGGGAGGATTGCTTGAGACCAGCTCAGGCAACATAGTGAGACCTCCCTCTTTACAAAAAAATAAAAATAAAAAAATTAGCTGGGCATAGTGGCATGCTCCTATACTCCTAGCTGCTCCCACTACAGGAAGCTGAAGTGCGAGGATTGCTTAAGCCTCAGTCTTCGAGGCTGCAGTGAGCTATGATTATGCCACTGTACTCCAGCCTGGGTGACAGAGCAAGATCCCATCCCTTTTTTTTTTTTTTTTTTTTTTTTTTTTTGAGACGGAGTCTCGCTCTGTCGCCCAGGCTGGAGTGCAGTGGCACAATCTTGGCTCACTACAACCTCTGCCTCCCGGGTTCACGCCATTCTCCTGCCTCAGCCTCCCAAGAAGCTGGGACTACAGGCGCCCGCCGCCACCACGCCGGCTAAATTTTTGTATTTTTAGTAGAGACGGGGTTTTACCATGTTAGCCAGGATGGTCTCGATCTCCTGACCTTGTGATCCGCCCGCCTTGGCCTCCCAAAGTGCTGGAATTACAGACTTGAGCCACTGCGCCCGGCCTCTTTTTTTTTTTTTTTTTTTTTTTTTTTTTTTTTTTTTTTTTGAGACGGAGTCTTGCTCTGTCACCCAGGCTAGAGTGCAGTGGCGTGATCTCGGCTCACTGCAACCTCTACCTCCCGGGTTCAAGCGATTCTCCTGCCTCAACCTCCCAAGTAGCTGGAATTACAGGTGCCCGCCACTGAACCTGCCTAATTTTTGTATTTTTAGTATAGATGGGGGTTTCACCATCTTGGTCAGGCAGGTCTGGACCTCCTGACCTCATGATCCACCTGCCTTGGCCTCCCAAAGTGCTGGGATTACAAGCGTGAGCCATTGCCTGGCCAGATCCCATCTCTTTAAAAAAAAAAAAAAAAAAAAAAAAGCAGCAGCAGCAGCAGCAGCAAGGGTGGATCAACTGTGTCAAATGTTCCTGAAAGGCTGTGGATAAGGATTGAGAATTGCCCACTGGAAATGCATATAAAGTTTATCAGTGGCCTTGACAAGAGCAGGTTCCATGGAGTGGGTTCAGGAGAAACAGGAAGGTGAGAAAATAGAAATGGGAATTACACACAATTCTTTCAAAGAGTTGTGCCACAAATGGGGACAAGTAATGTGTCAGTAATAAGAGGAGGATCCAGGATCAAGGATGGAAAGCTGTTACAACACATTTGTAGGCTGCAGGGAAGGTGTAGAAAAGAGAGGAAAATTGTTGATGTTAACCTCTATTGAATACTTACTAAGTAGGAGCTGCATGAGGCATTTTGTATGATTATTTCCTTTAACCTGCACACCCAACCAATGAGGAAGAGAATATGATCATCCCGATTTCACAGAACGCAAAACTGAGGCATGGAAAGGATGGGGTGGGGTACATGGACGTGGTCATAGGGCTAGTAAGTGGGGGAACTTGGAAGTAACCGGGATGTCTGGCTCCAGAGCCCACATTCTTGCTCTCTTTCATTTGCTTTTTTTTTTTTTTTTTTGAGACAGAGTCTTGCTCTGTTGCCCAGGCTGGAGTGCAGTGGTGTGGTCTCGGCTCACTGCAACCTCCACCTCCTGGGTTCAAGCGATTCTCCTGCCTTACCTCCTAAGTAGCTGGGATTACAGGCATGCGCCACCATGCCCGCTAATTTTTGTATTTTTAGTAGAGGCGGGGTTTCCCCATGTTGGCCAGGCTGGTCTCGAACTCCTGACCTCAGGTGATTCACTTGCCTCAGCCTCCCAAAATGTTGGGATTACAGGCGTGAGCCACCGTGCCCAGCTTTTCATTTGCATTTTTAAAATGTATTTTTATTTTATTATTTATTTATTTATTTTGAGACAGAGTCTTGCTCTTGTCCCACAGGCTGCAGTGCAGTGGTGCGATCTTGGCTCACTGCAACCTCCACCTCCCGGGTTTGAGCGATTTTCCTGCCTCAGCCTCCTGAGTAGCTGAGACTACAGGTGTGTGCCACCACACCCAGCTAATTTTTTGTATTCTGTTTTTTAGTAGAGACGGGGTTTCACCATGTTGGCCAGGATGGTCTCGATCTCTTGACCTCATGATCCACCTGCCTTGGCCTCCCAAAGTGCTGGGATTACAGGCGTGAGCCACCGTGCCCGGCTCCCCATATTTTTTTTTTTTTGAGACAGGGTCTCACTCTGTTGCCCATGCTGGAGTATAGTGGCACAGTCATGGCTCACTGTAACCTCTTGCCTCCTGGAGCTCAAGCAATCCTCTCACCTCAGCCTCTTGAGTAGCTGGGACCACAGGAGTGCACCATCAGGTCCAGCTAATTTTTATATTTTTTATAGAGATGGGGTCTCACTGTGTTGCCCAGACAGATCTTGAACTCCTGGGCTCGAGTGATTGTCCCTCCTCAGCCTCCCAAAATGTTGGGATTACAGGCATGAGCCACTGCACCTGGCCTATTTAAATTCATTTCTTATTGCAAATTGTAACCACTGTCTAAAATTTATATCTATTATCGTTTGTTCTCCCCTTGGTAGGAAAACACAATTATTGGCCTTTCAAGACTCCACTGAAGCATATCCCCTGAAATTTGCAACTGACTGCTCCCACCCTGTCCCTCTGCTTCTGAAGCAAATCCTGTCATAGCCCCTATGGAACTGTCCAACCCAACACCCCCTGTATTCCTATTGTGTCTGTTTTCTTGTCAATGTCCTGCAGTGGAACAGAAGCTCCTCAAAGTCTCCGGTTGCCTCCAATTCTCCTTTCTATCCCTAGCTGGCAGGACAAGCCTTCAAACAATAAATATCTGTCAGGAGTTTTATGGATGGATGAGTGAATGAACTTAAAAAGCATACTAGGGACCGGGCACGGTGGCTCACGCCTGTAATCCCAGCACCTTGAGAGGCCAAGGTGGGCAGATCACCTGAGGTCAGGAGTTTGAGACCAGCCTGGCCAAAATGGTGAAACCCTGTCTCTACAAAAATACAAAAATTAGCCAGGCATGGTGACATGCACCTGTAATCCTAACTACTCGGGAGGCTGAGGCAGGAGAATCACTTGAACCCAGGAGGTGGAGGTTGAAGTGAGCAGAGATCATGCCACTGCACTCCAGCTTGGGTGACAAAGTGAGACTCCATCTCAAAAAAAAAGCATACTGGGAATATTGGAAGCCACAGGACAGCTGAATATGGGCTTCTCCACCTACAAGCTGCATAGAGACAAAAGTGCTCTCAAAATTCAAAGTTCAAAAAAAATCTCTGGGGAGTAGAGGTTTGAAGGTGAGGATACTTGTTAAAAAGTGCAGGTTCTGGCTGGGGGCGGTGGCTCATGCCTGTAATCCCAGCACTTTGGGAGGCCGAGGCGGGCAGATCGCCTGAGGTCAGGAGTTTGAGACCAGCCTGGCCAACATGGTGAAACCCCATCTCTACTAAAATTACAAAAATCAGCTGGGCGTGGTGGTGGGCGCCTGTAATCCCAGCTACTCAGGAGGCTGAGGCAGGAGAATCATTTGAACCCGGGAAGTGCAGGCTGCAGTGAGCCAAGGTCGCCCCACTGCACTCCAGGCTGGGCGACAGAGTGAAATTCCATCTAAAAAAAAAAAACCAAACCAACAAACAAACAAAAAAAACCAGTGCAGATTCCTAGGCTTGACTCCCAGAGATTCTATTCAGTATGTCTGAGGTGGAGTCCAAGAGTTAGTACAGGGGTTTCTTTCCAAAGAATTCCATGCAATACTCCCTAGTCCTCCCACTGGAAGGTCAGGGAATCAGGAGACCTGGATTCTAGGCCACATTCTACTACTTATCATCTGGGAAGGGTTGCCAGATAAAATATGGCATGCAATATTTGGGACATGCAATACTAAAAAATTATTCATTATTTATATGAAATGCAAATTTAACTGGGCTTCCTATATGTCTGTTTGCTGAATCTGGCAACCTTCCAGCTGGGTGACCTCAGCCAAGCTGCATAACTTCCTAGAGCTTCAGTCTACTTATCTGTAAAATGGAGAAATTTGATCTTTCCTTATGGTCCTGAGGATTGAGAGCTTCATGTAAAGTGCTTAACTGCCGTGAATGGCACATGGTAAGTGCCCAGTAAATAAGCTATAAGAGGCCGGGCATGGTGACTCACGCCTGTAATCCCAGCACTTTGAGAGGCCGAGGCAGGCGGATCATGAGGTCAGGAGTTCGAGACCAGCCTGGGCAATATGGTGAAACCCCATCTCTACTAAAAATACAAAAAGTTAGCTGAGCGTGGTGGCGGGCGCCTGTAGTCCCAGCTACTCGGGAGGCTGAGGCAGGAGAATCGCTTGAACCCGGGAGGCAGAGGTTGCAGTGAGCTGAGATGGCACCACTGCACTCCAGCCTGGGTGACAGAGTGAGACTCTGACTCAAAAAAAAAAAAAAAAAAAAAGAAGGATTTATTTTAATTTTAATTTCTCTTACAGCATTAAAATGGAATTCATCAAGTAAGATTTACACATACTTCTCAGAAATACATCTTATGGCCAGTCTGTCTGGCAGCTGGCTGAGATGGTGAGATATGGACAGCCTGAGGCAGTCCTGGGCCCCAAAGAGAGGGTTAATGGGGGACATTTAAATTCTCATTCAGGCCGGGTGTGGTGGCTCACACCTGTAATCCCAGCACTTTGGGAGGCCGAGGCAGGATGCTCACTTGAGCCCGGTAGTTTGAGGCCAGCCTGCGTAACATGCCGAGACCCCGTCTCTACCAAAAATACAAAAATTAGCCGAGCGTGGTGGCGCATGCTATGGCCCCAGCTACTCAGGAGGCTGAGGCGGGAGGATGGCTTGAGCCCAGGAGGTGGAGGTTGCAGTGAGTTGAGATCTCCCCACTGCACTCCAGCCTGGGAGACAGAGTGAGACCCCATCTCAAAAAACTAATAATAAATACAATAAATAAATAAATAAATACATTCTCATTCAGACACTGATTTCTCAATCAGATTTTAGAGTTTCCCCAAATGAGCAAACTAGTAGGAAAAAAAAAAAGAGTGTGATCCTTCCAGAAACCAGTAGGGGGGAGTGTGTGCATTTCAGGATAAAACTAAAATACTACAGGATTCAGTCAAACAGCCCTGGCTGCAGGTTTTTCGCATCTTGGGAACAATGGAGGGCCTAATAAAGTCCTGGGGAGTGCACTGGTCAAGGCAAGGGTCAGTGCAGACCCCAAAATGCTGAGAAAATCAGCCTATACAGGGACAGCTCCTGTGGGCCATCTGTGGGAGGATGTTGTGGAAAATGAGAAACTAACGCAGATTTGGGAATATGGTATATAGAAGGAAAAAGAGACTTTGTATGTTGAAAGACGCCAAAAAAATCAAAAGCAAGTGAGAAACCAAGAGAAAAAAATTGCAAATTGTATGACAAAGAATTACAAAATGTATAAAGCTGTTCCACCAATTATCAAACCAAAGGTCAAAAAACAAAAAACAAACAAACAAAAAAACTAGAAGTAAAATGGATAAGAGATGAACACAGGTAATTTATGTAAGAAATAAGAACTATAAATAGGCTGGGCAAGGTGGCTCACGCCTGTTACCCCAGCACTTTGGGAGGCCAAGGCAGGAGGATCTCTTGAGCCCAAAATTTCGAGAACAGCCTGGGCAACATAGTGGGACCCCTGTCTACTCAGGAGTCCCAGCTACTCGGGAGGCTGAGGCAGGAAGATTGCTTGATCCCAGGAGTTGGAAGCTGCAGTGACCCATGATTGCACCACTGTACTCCAGCCTGGGCAACAGAGTGAGACCCTGTTTCAAAATAAAAAAAGAAAAAAAGAGGAAAGAAATATTAATACATAATAAACATACATTTAAAAGATTAATCTCTCTGGCAACAAGGAAATACAAATGAAAACACTGCAGGGGCTTTCTGCCTCGTTTTCCTATGCTTATTATCCATTGAGCACTTGTTCTGGGCCAGGCATTGTGCAAAGAGCTTTCTAGACATCAACTCAGAATTTAATGTTTACAAAAACTCTGAGAAGTAGGAACAAACATTATCCTCATTTTACCTAAAGAATGCGGCTCTGAAAGGTTAGTAACTTGCCTGGAGTTTACCCAGCTGGGAAGGGCAAGCAGGGTTCGGACCCATGTTTGTGTGATTCCAAGTCCTTCTTCTCCCCATACTGATTTCTCTGGGACCTCAATTGATATGTCCAAGCAGCATCCAGTGCTTGAATATGGTGCTTTGGAGAAGGCCCTGGAAGCTGTGAGCCCCAAGCAGCCAAAGAGGAACAGAAAAGAAAGAAAGAAACAAACAAAACCTCAGAAAATCAGACAGCAATGGAAGTGGTCCTGGGGAAGCAGGGTGTTTTGGCAGAACATAGAAAATGGGAATTTGGGGACTGGAGAGATGGGGGTTTGGAACGCCAATTGGGGGCTAGAGGAAACAGTTCGTGGCACATTCTAAGCAGGCTGGGGTCTGGCTGGCTTGAATGTTCACAGCCCTGGAGGATGGAAGCTGAGGAATCTGTTTGTCATCCACTGCATGCTGAGCTGCCATTCTCATATCTAAACCTTCCAGCCCCAAGTCCCTCATTCCCTCCCTCCTTCTCGCACCTGCTGGCAGCGGGGGCTCCAATGAATGGACAAGTTCCATGAATTCTTGCCCCTTCCCCCACCTTTTACATAGCCAAGCCCTGGAACAAAAGGCGCCCTGAGTCTGGGGCCCCTTCCCTGGACTCCTGCCAGCTCCAGGGAGTGCTAGACAGCTGGAGCCGAGCTCCACACCACACCATTTACATCTTTTACAGCCTTCCCACCCCATGATCCTCTCTCCCCACTCATGGCCACGGCTCAGGCCCACTGGACCCCAGGACGCTCCTCCTCGTTCCCTGGAGGTTGAGGGGAGTTGCTGTGACACAGATAGGGCAGCGGGATATGGGTGTGTGGTTCACATCCTAGAATCCAGGGCTGAAGGTGTAGATCCTTTGTCTAGGACAATCCATCCCACCCACCAAGCAGCAGCAATGGGAAGCTCCTTGCCTGTCACTTTGTGCTCCTGATTTCAGGCCCCACAGGTGGCTGTCCTGTAGGATTTGGGATCCTCTTTCCTAGGTGGTTGGTTCCCTATCTCCTTGGATTAGGTATCCTAGTGGTTTTATCCACTGATAAATACACTATTTATTGAGCACCTATTGTGTGCTTGGAACAATGGTAGGTGCGTCGCATCTGTTTCCTCATTTAATCCTCACCACAGCCCAAGGTGAAATATATGTGGATCCAGAGGCTCACCCCAAGCCTCCTCGGTCCGCTGGTCCACAGTAGTGACAGGATGTGAATCCAGGTCTTCCCCACCTGCCACCTTGAGTAGGAATCCGAGGACCAACTGGGTAACTCTTCCCTCAAACTCTCTTGCACAGTTCCGCAGTCTGCACTGTTTACCTGTTTACCGACTGTCTCCCAAATCACAGGAGCCATCCTATGATCCTGCCCTTTCCTGATCCGCAGGGATGGCCCCACCCAGGCTCCCCTTCCTCCCAGGCAGCCTCCTAAAGTCCACATTTTGTTTCAAATTCCCGTAGAGCAGGACAGGCCAGGAAAAGGGGCAGTTATACCTTCCCTTGGTGAGAAGCCCTCTCAAGACACAGGCCTGGCTTTGGTTTGCTGCTCCGCGATTCCTCCTTCCTCTCTTGCAAGCCTTGCCCTTGTGGACTGGGCCTAATTTCAGACAACATAAGCACTGGTTGATTTTATTTTATTATTATTATTATTATTATTTGAGATGGAGTCTCACTTCGTTGCCCAGGCAGGAGTGCAGTGAATGGTGCAATCTCAGCTCACTGCAACCTGTGCCTCCCAGGTTCGAGCAATTCTCTTGCCTCAGCCTCCCAAGTAGCTGGGACTACAGGTGCCCACCACCACGCCTGGCTAATTTTTGTCTTTTTAGTAGAGACAGGGTTTCACAATGTTGGCCGGGCTGGTCGCGAACCCCTGAGGTCAGATGATCCACCCACCTCAGCCTCCCAAAGTGCTGGGATTACAGGCATGAGCCACTGCGCCTGGCCCTTGTGGGTGATCTTGTCCTGGAGGAGATCGGGGCGAAGGAAAGGCGTGAGCCACCACACCTGGCTAGTGCTGGTTGATTCTAATTGGTATGTTCCACCTCTTCTGAGAGCTTCCTGAAGTACCTCCAACTTCCTGGGTTATGAGCCAATATATCAAAAGGTACCCTGCAGGGTGAGGACGGAAGACCCTGTGCCCTGGCCACCTCCTGCCTCAGAGAAGCCACAATAGAGCTGTCAGAGGTGGCCATGGTTTCTGTCAGTCCAGCCAGCCCTCTGTCTGGAGAGCCCAGTGGATCTCTGTAGTCCGTTGAGGGGCTCAGAAGCCATTTCAGCCACAATACTCCCAAGTATGTACCCAATGAATGATATCACAAAGTGCTGCCTTCAATTACCCCAAAATAAAAATATATAAATAAATATGTGTCTACAGATTGTTTTTTTGACCAAGCAATTCTACTTGGTGAGTCTTACAGGAAGGAACTTTTGCAAAACATACACACATTTGTTTACTGCAACACTGTTTCTGATAGTGAAAAACAGGAAAAAGTCAATGTTCAGTTGCAAGGGATTGCTTAAATAAATTATAATACCTCCCTACAACAAAACATTCTACAGCTGTTAAAAAACGAGGTAATTTTATACTGACAAGGAAAGAGATCCATGACATACTGCAGGGTTAAAAAGAGTAAGTTATTGGCCAGGTGCCCTGGCTCATGCTTGTAATCCCAGCACTTCAGGAGGCTGAGATGGGTGGATCACCTGAGGTCAGGGGTTCGAGACCAGCCTGGCCAACATGGTGAAACCTTGTCTCTACTAAAAATACAAAAATTGGGGCTGGGTGCAGTGGCTCACGCCTGTAATCCCAGCACTTTGGGAGGCTGAAGTGGGCGGATCACCTGAGGTCAGGGGTTTGAGACCAGACTGGCTATATAGTGAAACCCTGTCTCTATTAAAAATACAAAAATTGGGGCTGGGCACGGTGGCTCATGCCTGTAATCCCAGCACTTTGGGAGGCCGAGGAGGGCGGATCACCTGAGGTTGGGAGTTCCAGACCAGCCTGATCAACATGGAGAAACTCTGTCTCTACTAAAAAAAAAATACAAAATTAGCTGGGCATGGTGGCGCATGCCTGTAATCCCAGCTACTCAGGAGGCTGAGGCAGGAGAATCTCTTGAATCCAGGAGGCGAAGGTTGCAGTGAGCCAAGATCATGCCACTGCACTCCAGCCTGGGCGACAAGAGCAAAACTCCATCTCAAAAAAAAAAAAAAGAAACAGGGTCTCACTCTTGTCACCCAGGCTGGCCTGCAGTGGCATCTTCCAGGGCTCCAGTGATCCTCCCATCTCAGCTTCCTGAGTAGCTGGGACTACAGGCGCGTGCCACCACGAATAGCTAGTGGTTTTGTTTGTTTGTTTGTTTGTTTTTGTAGAGATGAGGTTTTGCAATGTTGCCCTGGCTGGTCTTGAACTCCTGGGCTCAAGAATTGACCCACCTTGACCCACCTTGGGTCTACCAAGTGCTGGGATTCCAGGTGTGAGCCATAGTGCCTGGCCTGTGGAGGCATTTTTTTTTTTTTTGAGACGGAGTCTCACTCTGTTGCCCAGGCTGGAGTGCAGTGGCGTGATCTCGGCTCACTGCCACCTCTGCCTCCTGGGTTCAAGCGATTCTCCTGCCTCAGCCTCCTGAGTAGCTGGGACTACAGGTATGTGCCACCATGCCCAGCTAATTTTTGTATTTTTAATAGAGACAGTTTCACCATGTTGGCCAAGCTGGTCTCGAACTCCTGACTTTAAGTGATCTGCCCACCTTGGCCTCCCAAAGTGCTGGGATTATAGGCATGAGCCACCGGGCCTGGGCTTTTTTTTTTTTTTGAAACAGAGTCTTGCTGTATCACCCAGGCTGGAGTGCGGTGGCACTATCTCAGCTCACTGCAACCTCTGCCTCCCGGTTCAAGCAATTCTTCTATCTCAGTCTCCTGAGTAGCTGGGATTACAGGCACGTGTCACCATGCCCGGCTAGTTTTTTTGTATTTTTTAGTAGAGACGGGGTTTCGCTATGTTGGCCAAACTAGTCTTGAGCTCCTAACCTCAAGTGATCTGCCTGCCTCGGCCTCCCAGAGTGCTAGGATTACAGGTGTGAGCCACTGTGCCGGGCCTGGAAAGCATTTTTTAAATCTCCCCAGGTGTTTCCCATGGGCAGCCAAGTTGGGAAACACTTTTCTAAAGAAATGGAAGGAAGGAAAGGTTGATTTGGAAAGGAAAGTGAGGTGATACTCTGTTTGTTCTACATGAAAACTAAACAGATACTACTTGCCCTGCTCTTTCTGGGGAAAAAAAGTAAAGGACCCAGAGTGGCCTTGAATTACTACTAGACTTATGTAAGCACTCAGTTAGTTGAAGTATAGCCCTTAGCAGTATCAAACTTTTTTTTTTTTTTTTTGAGACAGAGTTTCGCTCTTGTTGCCCAGGCTGGAGTGCAATGGTGCGATCTTGGCTCACTGCAACCTCTGCCTCCCAGGTTCAAGTGATTCTCCTGCCTCAGCCTCCCTAGTAGCTGGGATTACAGGCATGTGCCACCACGCCCGGCTAATTTTGTATTTTTAGTAGAGACGGGGTTTCTCCATGCTGGTCAGGCTGGTCTTGAACTCCTGACCTCAGGTGATCCGCCTGCCTCAGCCTCCCAAAGTGCTGGGATTACAGGCGTGAGCCACCGCGCCCAACAGCAGTATCAGACTTTCTGACTACACCTGAGGCGTTCTAGAAGTTGACCACTTGACTCTAGCAGATCAAGTCTGCAAGAGCAGAAAGAAGGGAAAGAGCCCACGTTGTTGCCTCATTCCGAAGGGCAAGAACCACCTCCTCATTGGCAAAACAGGAGCATGAATAAAACACAAGTCTGGGCCGGGCACGGTGGCTCACGCCTGTAATCCCAGCACTTTGAGAGGCCCAGGTGGGTGGATCACGAGGTCAGGAGATCGAGACCATCCTGGCTAACACAGTGAAACCCCGTCTCTACTAAAAAAAATACAAAAAATTAGCTGGGCATGGTGGCGGGCACCTGTAGTCCCAGCTACTCGGGAGGCTGAGGCAGGAGAATGGCGTGAACCCGGGAGGCGGAGCTTGCAGTGAGCCGAGATCGCGCCACTGCACTCCAGACTGGGGGACACGGTGAGACTCCGTCTCAAAAATAAATAAATAAATAAACAAACAAACAAACCACAAGTCTGGGCTGGGCACAGTGGCTCATGCCTGTAATGCCAGCACTTTGGGAGGCAGAGGCAGATGGATCACCTGAGGTCAGGAGTTCGAGACCAGCCCAGCCAACATGGTGAAACTCTGTCTCTACTAAAAACAGAAAAAATTAGCCAGGCATGGTAGCAGGTGCCTGTAATTCCAGCTACTCAGGAGGTTGAGGTAGGAGAATCGCTTGAACCCAGGAGGCAGAGGTTGCAGTGAGCCAAGATTGCACCATTGCACTCCAGCCTGGGCAACAAGAGCAAAACTCCATCTCAAAAAAAAAAAATTTTATATATATATATATATATATATATATATATATATATATATATATACAAAAAAGAAAACACACAAGTCTGCACAGTGCCTGATATAGTAGAAGTCCTCAATAAGTTCTAGCTTATTCATTTCAGGAATGGAGGGAGCTTAGAGGTAATTTTAGTGCCTGCAGAATACTAGATGTGCACACTTTACGTTGTGTAAGACGTGAAATCTTCACAACATGCCTTTCACGCAGACATTGACATCCTTATTTTACAGATTAATTTAACTAGGTTAGTATCTTGTTAGAAGCTAGAAGTAAAAGCCCAGTTTTGTTCAACTCCAAATTCCGTACTTTGTTCACCACACTCTGTCACTTCTAAGGGACACTTGGGGTGGGAAATCAACTGTGATTAGGTCCCTCATTTTCAGGCTCACCCTACATATGCGTCCAAAGGAAGGGAGCATGTGGCTGAAGTTATCTGGGATTACTTTGCTTAGAGATGATAGGACACCTTAAAAGACTGTGCCCATATGTAGTTCTGCAAGGGCCTGAAGTTGAAGCCACACCATGGGAAAAAAAAGGAAGGTCCCATCTCTGAGCCCCAAGGGGAGATGTTAGGGGTTTTGGACCTTTGTTCTGTATTGTAGATAGATTTGCACAGAGGACCCCTCCCAAACCTACTCACTCCCAATCCCAAAGCTTCCATTTCCTCCTCCCTCAAAGCAACTGCTGCTTACCTGGCTTTCACACCTGTGTTTTCTGGCCTGGCAGGACAAGTCTACCTTTCCCCCTCCGGAGGATCGACTCCTAATCTGTTTTTTTTTTTTTTTTTTTTTTTTTTTTTTTTTTTTTTTTTAGATGGAGTTTTGCTGTTGTTGCCCAGGCTGGAAGTGGCGCGATCTCGGCTCACTGCAACTTCCGCCTCCCGGGTTCAAGCGATTCTCCTGCCTCAGCCTCCTGAGTAGCTGCGATTACAGGTATGTGCCACCTTGCCCGGCTAATTTTTTTGTATTTTTAGTAGAGATGGGGTTTCTCCATGTTGGTCAGGCTGGTCTCGAACTCCCGACCTCAGGTGATCTGCCCACCTCGGCCTCCCAAAGTGCTGGGATTACAGGCGTGACACCATGCCTGGCCTCCTAATCTATTTTTTTTTCTTCACTTCCTTTAACAACCAGTGCCCTTGGGCATTGTCCCATCAACTCTTTTTACCTCTTTTCACATTGCTTGAATCAAATATTCACAAACAGGTATTTCTTGAGCACCCACTTGGACCCAGCAGTGTGAGTGGCACATTAGTCCTGCAGAGACTGTCATGCATCTTCCATTGCTTCCTTCTCTTGAAATCTTTGCTCTCCCATGCCACCTTCTTCAGGAAACTTTCCTGGGTCTCAGCTCCTCAGTGTCCTCATGGCATTCAGACATGTCTGTTACATGGCTTCCCATATTCTATTCTCGGGTTATGGTTATTTGGATGCATGTCTCCCAAGCTAGATTTCTTTGAAGGCAGAAATCACATTCTTTGTCTTTGTATTCTTCAAATGCCTAACACAGTGACTGGCACATTAAAAAATATGTTTATATGCCAGGCACGGTGGCTCATGCCTGTAATCCCAGCACTTTAGGAGGCCGAGGCGGGCGGGTCACCCGAGGTCGGGAGTTCGAGACCAGCCTGACCAACATGGTGAAACCCCGTCTCTACTAAAAATACAAAAATTAACTGGGTGTGGTGGCATGTGCCTGTAATCCCAGTTACTTAGGAGGCTGAGGCAGGAGAACTGCTTGAACCCAGAAGGCGGAGGTTGCAGTGAGCCGAGATTACACCATTGCATTCCAGCCTGGGCGACAGAGCGAGACTCCATCTCAAAAAAAAGAGGTGGGAGGATCACTTGAACCCGGGAGATCAAGGCTGCAGTGAGCCAAGATGATGCCATTGTACTCCAGCCTGGGACAGAGTGAGACTCTGTCTCAAAAAGGAAAAAAGAAAAGCAAGGGTAAAGAAATCATTGAGTAAGAGTGAATAATAACATTAAAACAACAGGGTGGGCATGGTGGCTCACATCTGTAATCCCAGCACTTTGGGAGGCCGAGGCAGGCGGATCACCTGAGGTCAGGAGTTCAAGACCAGCCTGATCAACATGGTGAAACCCCATCTCTACTAAAAATACAAAAATTAGCCAGGCATGGTGGCGCATGCCTGTAATTCCTGCTACTCTGGAGGCTGAGGTAGGAGAATCGCTTGAACCCGGGAGGTGGAGGTTGCGGTGAGCCAAGATCGCGCCATTGCACTCCAGCCTGGGCGACAGAGCGAGACTCTGTCTCAAAAAAAAATAAATAAAAATAAATAAATAAATAAAATAAAACAACATAACAACATTTGAGTGTTCACTATATGTTCACTGCATTGTTCTAGTTGCTTTACATGCACCATCTTATTTAATCTTCATAATGATTCTATGAGGTTACTACAGTTACAATCACCATTTCACAGATGAGGGAACTGAGGCACAAAGAGGTTAAGCAACTTGCCCAAGTTCACACAAGTAGTAAGTGGCTCACCCAGGCAATGTGGTTCCAGAAGCTACGCTCATTACTAAAGCCCTCAGAACGTGAATGTTAGGCATTCTATGCATACATCTGGTTTGTGGTTTGGCTCTGAGGTTCCTGGAAGCCAAAGCCAAGAAGGAAAGGTATTAAATGATATAAGTTCATTAAAAACAATAAACCTAGGCTGGGCACAGTGGCTCATGCCTGTAATACCAGCACTTTGGGAGGCTGAGGCGGGCGGATTGCTTGAGCTCATGAGTTCGAGACCAGCCTGGGCAACATGGTGAAACCCCATCTCTAATAAAAATACAAAACATTACCCAGGCATGGCGGTGGGTGCCTGTAGTCCCAGCTACTAGGGAGGCTGAGGTGGGAGCATCAATTGAGCCTAGGAGGCAGAAGTTGCAGTGAGCTGAGATTGCACCACTGCACTCCAGGCTGGATGACAGAGCAAGACTCCATGTCAAACAAACAATAAACCAATTGCTGGGGAGAAACATAGCTTTTTGTGACCCTGAGTCTGAGAGAACTCATAAAGAAGATACTGTTTTCCAAATTTTATAGGTTAACATTCCATGAGCAAAATGGTTAAACTTCCCAACATAGGTATATTTCTTTATAAATGATATGTATGCACTATTATATTCTGTGCCTTGTAAAACACAAATGTAGAAATGGAAAAGAATGAAAGAAAATATGTATCTACACGGAAGTTCTTCTGAGAATCATCTTGCATACTCCCAGGTACATGCCGCCCACCTCTGAGCTCCTTGGTACGGAGGGTGGGTCTATGGATTGGATTCTGGCAGTAGATAAGAGTAGCAGTCTTCACATCACCATTGAGTAACTTGAAGAATACGAAGACAAAGAGTATGATTCCTGCCTTCAAAGAAATCTAGTAGGGGAGACCTGCATTCAAATAACCATAACACAAAGGCCAGGCACGGTGGCTCACACCTGTAATCCCAGCAGTTTGGGAGGCCGAGGCAGGTGGATCACTTGAGGTCAGGAGTTTGAGACCAGCCTGGTCAACATGGTGAAACCTTGTCTCTACTAAAAATACAAAATTAGCCAGGTGTGGTGGTGCATGCCTGCAATCCCAGTTACTAGGGAGGCTGAGGCAGGAGAATAACTTGAACCTGGGAGGCGGAGTTTGCAGTGAGCTGACATCATGCCACTGCACTCCAGCCTGGGTGACAGAGCAAGAAAGAATAACCATAACTGGATAATAGAATATGGGAAGCCATGTAGCAGACACATCCAATAACCCTCAGTGGGGATCCAAAGCATGACACAGAAAAAGCAATTCAGTGACAGTAGGTCTAGAGGTGTCAACGTAATGTGGTCCAAGTACATACCTCTCTGATTGGCTAGTTTGATCTAATCACTATTTTAAAATATGACTAATATTAATTGAGCATTTTGTGTATGATAGCCACTGTACTAAATGCCTGACTTGTATTTCTTTCATTTAATCCTTATCACAGGCCTGTAATGAACCTATATTATTATATCACTATTTTACAGATGAGGAAATTAAGGCTCAGTAGAGCTGGGATTTAAACCCATGTTTATTCAACTCTAAAGCCAGTGATTTTCATTGCCATTCTATACAGGCTTAGAAATTTTCAATATAGGTGTCCTTAAGCAGTTTCTCCCCTTTTACAGATGTTCTATTTTTTTTTTTTTTTTGTGAGATAGGGTCTTGCTCTGTTGCCCAGGCTGGAGTGCAGTGGTATGGTCTCGGCTGACTGCAACCTCCGCCTCTTGGGTTCAAGCAATTCTCCTGCTTCAGCCTCCCGAATAGCTGGGATGACAGATATGAACCACTAGGCCCAGCTAATTTTTGTGTCTTTAGTAGAGATGGGGTTTCACCATGTTGGCCAGGCTGGTCTCAAACTTCTGACCTCAAGTGATCTGCCTGCCTCGGCTTCTCAAAGTGCTGGTATTACAGGTGTGAGCCACCGCACCCAGCCTCAGATCTTCTTTATTTATTTACAAAAAGAATGCATTCTTGTGGCAAAAATGCAAACAAAACTGAAGTGTGCAAAGTAAAAAAGCTGGCCAGGTGCGGTGGCTCACGCCTGTAATCCAGCACTTTGGGAGGCTGAGGCAGGCAGATCACCTGAGGTCAGGAGTTTGAGACCAGCCTGACCAACATGGAGAAACCCTGTCTCTACTAAAAATACAAAATTAGCTGGGCATGGTGCTGCATGCTTGTAATCCCAGCTGCTCGGGAGGCTGAGGCAGGAGAATTGCTTGAACCTGGGAGGCGGAGGTTGCAGTTAGCCGAGATTGCACCATTGCACTCCAGCCTAGGCAACAAGAGTGAAACTCTGTCTCAAAAAAAACCCGCCTCTTTCCACAAACCTCTTCTCCAGGGTTTTCCATTAGTTTGCTCCATTTATAGTCTCCCAGACACTTCTTTCTACTCCCTAAACACGTGTATATATATATACATACATAATAGATAGATTTTTGCAAAAGTGGATTCATAAGATTTATTTAACTCTGAAATCCCACTTTAATTTGGCTATCTTTCTGGGTTAGTTCCCATAGATCTATTGACACATCAGTAGTGGGTAATATAATTGAACTAAAATGTTCCCTCCTGGTGAATCGCTTGAACCAGACGGAGGTGGAGGTTGCGGTCAGTTGAGATCGTGCCATTGCACTCCAGCCTGGGCAACAAGAGCGAAACTCCATCTCAAAAAAAAAGTTTCCTCTTGGTAATTTTTTTCGCTATTTTCCTCTAGGTGACTTTAGAGAATTGTCCTTTTTCTTTCTCTCCTCTTTTTCTCCTCTTTTCTTACCCCTTTGGCTTTAGATCTTATCTAGATGCTAACAACTCCCACACTTACTTCACTCTTACCTGGAACATTTTGTAATTTTACGTATTTTGAAAATTTACTTTGAATTGGGTTTATGCCTGTTCAGAACATACTGTCCTTGAAGAATGTATTTTTGTATCTGTTTGTACTGATGAAAAGAAACTCTGGGCCAGGTGCAGTGGGTCACGCCTGTCATCCCAGCACTTTAAGACTGAGGTGGGTGGATCACTTGAGGTCAGGAGTTTGAGACCAGTCTGGTGAACATGGTGAAACCCAGTCTCTACTAAAAATACAAAAATTAGCTGGGCATGGTGGCACATGCCTGTAGTCCCAGCTATTCGGGAAGCTGAGGCAGGAGAATTGCTTGAACCTGGGAGGCGGAGGTTGCAGTGAGCCGAGATCGTGCCACTTTACTCTAGCTGGGTGACAGAGTGAGACCCTGCCTCAAAAAAACAAAAAACAAACAAAAACAAACAAACAAACAAAACAACAAAAAAAGAAACTCTGGAAGGAAACTAATAAAGGTGGTTGCCAGTGTGTGGTAATGGGGGATGAAAGGAGTTGGGAGTAAACTAACCAAGACCAAAGATACTAGGCCTGAGAGGAAGAGCAGGGTGATTGGGAGACGTTGAGTTTGGCCTTGTGGTCTTGTTTCCCCTTCATGGATGAAATAGAGAGGGCTGAAGAAATGCAACAAACTCGGAGGGGAAGGACCACAAGCCCTTGAAACTGCTTCAGGGCCAACTGTTCCCCTAGTGGGTACCTGTGCCTGTTTTCTTGGGGTGGGAGAAGGGCTGAGTTATTGACAAGCCTTCTTGCCTCGCCAGGTACGTTTCCTGAGGACAGCTGCTCTGTGAAGCCCACTGCCCCAAAGGCACCTATCAAAGACCCTGCAAACAAGCAGATGGCAATCCAGGTTGCCAATGACATTGCCCATCCCAGGTACCTGGGCTGCCTGCTTTTCCCTGAAGTGGGAGCCTGGCTTGCAGGTAAGTGTCCTTCCCCTTTGCTCCTTTAAAGTGATACTTCACTCCTCAAATAAAATGTTTCATCTTTTTATTGTAAAAGTTATTAAGCACACCCAAAATGAAAAATGGTATAATGAACCACTCAGAATGAATAGTAAAATGAACTCCTGATCCAAAAAGTATCACATTGTGCCATATATATTCTTTTTTCTGATTAAAAAAATCAAATCCCTGACATTTTATTCCTAAATTCTGAAATGTATATCTAAAAGTTTAGAACATTTTCCTATGTAACCATCATACTGTTCTCACTCCTAACAAATTTAACATTAATTGCTTCGTATACTCTAATATCTAATCTATATTCACACTTACCCCTAAGTGAAATGACTTAAAGCCATGAATAATGTTAGATTGGAGTTGCAAATGAAACCAGAGAAGCCAGCATCAGCCTGACAGCCCTCTTAGCACAGATCTCTGAGAAACGCCAGTACCCAGGAATGAGGGGCTCAAGAAATACTTGTTACTTTCCTCAGTAATAGCAAGTCATGGTAGCTCTCATTATGAGCTCTTACCATAGAGAATTTGCTATGCACTCTTCTGTCCTGACTGGAAGACTGCGTTCACTCTTTGTGTGTCTTCCACAGAGCTGAGTATAATGCCTACACAGAGTAGATGTTTAACAAATTGTAATTTGTTTTTTGTTTTAGAGATAGAATCTTGCTCTGTTGCCCAGGCTGGAGTGGAGTGGCATAATCACAGCTCACTGAAGCCTCAAACTCCTGGGCTCTAGTGATCCTCCTGCTTCAGCCTCCTGAGTAGCTGGGACTATAGTTGCATGCCACCACATTCAGCTAACTATTTTTATTTTTTATTTTTGAGATCGAGTCTCACTCTGTTGCCCAGGCTGGAGTGCAGTGGCAAGATGTCAGCTCACTGCAACCTCCGCCTCCTGGGTTCAAGCAATTCTTGTGCCTCAGCCTCCTGAGTAGCTGGGACTACAGGTGTGAGCCACCATGCCCGGCTAATTTTTAGATTTTTAGTAGAGATGAGGTTTCACCATGTTGGCCAGGTTGCTCTCGAACTCCTGACTTCAGGTGATCTGCCTGACTTGGACTCCCAAAGAGCTGGGATTACAAGAGTGAGCCACTGTGCCAAGCCATTTTTTTCTTTTCTTTTTTTTTGAGACAGGGTCTTACTAGGGTGCCCAGGTTGACTTTGAACCCCTGGCCTCAAGTGATCCTCCTGCTTCAGCCTCCCAAGTAGCTAGGATTACAGGTGGGAGCCACTAATTGTAATTTGAATTGACAATCATATTTCCCTGGTATTATTTCCTCAGGGCCAAGTAGTGTTATGGCTGTTTTATCAGATCATTTCATTGGCCCTGTAAAGTAGATATCACTCGCCCCATTTCACAGATGAGGAAACTGAGGGTCAGGCATGTTCAAAGTTCTGTAACTAGGAAGTAGGGGAGCTGAGACTCAATTCTGGTTGCTCTGACTCCAGAGTCTGAGTGGTCATCCATCTCTTGGTAGTCACCAAGGGACTCTGGATGGGGGAGTAAAGGTCTCAGTCCTGGGTACAGGCAAGAGAGGGTAAAAGAGAAGGGTGGAGGAGGGGGAGAGAAAAAGGAAGGAGAAAGAAAGAACAAAAGAAAAAGAAATCAGGGTGGGCATGGTGGCTCATGTCTGTAATCTCAACACTTCAGGGGCCAAGGCAGTGGGAGGATCACTTGAGCCCAGGAGTTCTAGAGCAGGCTGGGAAAAATAGTGAGGCACCATCTCTACTAATAAGAAAAAATTTCATTGGGCATGGTGGCACATGCCTGTAGTCCCAGCTACTTGGGAGGCTGAGGCGGGAGGATCGATTGAGCCCAGTATTTTGAGGCTGCAGTGAGCTGTGATTGCACCACTGAATTCCAGCTTGGGCAACAGAGAAGACCCTGTCTCAAAAACAGAAAATAAAAGAAGCTAGGAGAACATGTCATAAAAGTAAGACTAGCAGTAATTGGATTTAAGGCCTTTGTTTACAGTGAATATAATAGGTGTTTGTTGTGTTGTAGAATGAATGAGAAGCCTTTTCTTTTTTTTGAGATGGAGTCTCACTCTGCTGCCCAGGCTAGAGTGCAGTGGCATGATCTCAGCTCACTGCAACCTCTGCCTCCTGGGTTCAAGCAATTCTCCTTCCTCAGCCTTCCCAATAGCTGGGAATACAGGTGTGTGCCACCACACTCAGCTAATGTTTGTATTTTTTTTTTTTTTTTTTTGAGACGGAGTTTTGCTCTTGTTGCCCAGGCTGGAGTGCAAGGGCACGATCTCAGCTCACCGCAACCTCCGCCTCCCAGGTTCAAGCGATTCTCCTACTTCAGCCTCCCTAGTAGCTGGGATTATAGGCATGTGCCACCACGCCCGGCTAATTTTGTATTTTTAGTAGAGACGGTGTTTCTCCATGTTGGTCAGGCTGGTCTCAAACTCCTGACCTCAGGTGATCCACCCACCTCGGCCTCCCAAAGTGCTGGGATTACAGGCGTGAGCCACCGCGCCCGGCCATGTTTGTATTTTTAGTAGACACGGGGTTTCACCATATTGGTCAGGCTGGTCTTGAACTCCTGAGAGGTGATCCGCCTACCTCCGCCTCCCAAAGTGCTGGGATTACAGGCGTGAGCCACCATACCCGGCCAATGAGAAGCCTTTTGAGTTTCAACTCTCACACTCTAAAGTCTAGAGTTCAGTCTGTAGACATCATTGTATTCCTGGGGCTAGCCTGGAACCTGGCACATATTAAGAGCTCAAATATCTGTTGAATGAATGACTGAATGTATGAATAAATGCACAAGTGAATAAATAAATGATTGAATGAATGATGAATTATATGAAATAACAATTTATTTTTATTTTTATTTTTTGAGACGGAGTCTTGCTCTGTCGCCCAGGCTGGAGTGCAGTGACGCAATCTCAGCTCACTGCAGCCTCTGCCTCCTGGGTTCAAGCAATTCTCCTGCCTCAGCCTCCTGAGTAGCTGGAGTACGCGCAGCCACTCCCGGCTAATTTTTGTGTTTTTAGTAGAGACGGGGTTTCACCATGTTGGCCAGGATGGTCTTGATCTCCTGACCCTGTGATCCGCCTGCCTCGGCCTCCCAGAGTGCTGGGATTACAGGTGTGAGCCACCGTGCCCAGCTGAAATAACAAATTATTTAACAAGTCATTGAGTGAATGAATTAATTGATGGGACAGATGGATGAATTCTTTAAATCTCTGTAGAAAGAAGGTGAGTAGGGAAGAGAATAACTGAATAGCAGCACTATTTACTGAGCATTTCATTATTAGACCAGTGCTAAGAATTTCACAGTTTTTCCATTTAATCCTCACAGCAACCTCTCTGGGGTTGTTACCATCATTTTCTAAGAGAGCAATTAGATCTGGGGAGGCCAGGTAATTTACTCCATGTCCCACAGGGCAAAGCTGGAATACTGACCCTATCATACTCCAAAATTTAGACTTTTTACCACCCAATCAATGTCCTGTTCAACATAGGACTTGCTTTTAGTAGCTGATGCAAGTTCAGGTGAGCCACCACTTACACAACCCCTGGAAAGCTGTAAATTTAAACATAAACATTGTTAATTACTTCTTTAAAGCTTTTCTATTGCATGTCTCTTTATTTATTTATTTTGAGACAGAGTTTTGCTCTTGTTGCCCAGGCTGGAGTGCAATGGCACCTTCTTGGCTCACTGCAACCTTCGCTTCCTGGGTTCAAGTGATTCTCCTGCCTCAGCCTCCAGAGTAGCTGGGATTACAGGCGCCCAGCACCATGCCCAGCTAGTTTTTGTATTTTTAGTAGAGATGGGCTTTCACCATGTTGGCCAGGCTGGTCTCGAACTCCTGACCTCAGGTGATCCACATGCCTCGGCCTCTCAAAGTGCTGGGATTACAGGCGTGAGCCACCACACCTGGCCGCATGTCTTTTTGTAAGTGAAGGATTACCCCCAACTCCTCTGCTTCTGAAATCTGAATTTTGTTCAAAGCGAGGTATATATTAACTAAAGATGTCTACTTGTGGAAGCTGGTTTAGTTATTGCTGGGAAACTGGGATTTTGGTGTTTGAACACCTTAATAACCAGGCCCTTAATTTTGTGACATCTCATCTTGACAGTTTAAATAAAAGTAAATTAAAATTTACCAAATCCCAAACCCATTAAAGAAAAGACAGATACGTCAGTCCAGGAGTTTGAGATCAGCCTGGGTATGGTATGCTCCTGTTCCTCAGGAGGCAGAGGCGGAGGCAGAGGCAGAAGAATCCCTTGAACTCAGGAGTTCGAGGCTGCAATGAGCTGTGACTACACTACTGCATTCCAGCCTGGGTGACACAGCAAGACCCTGCTTCAGAAAAAAAAAAAAGACAAGACAGATTTGTACCATATCTGTTCGGACTGTGGTTCAAAGTCCAACTAGGAACCACAAATTCAGAAAAAATATTTCTAATTCCTGTCATCAACCAAGGACTGTCTTAATATATCCTACATTTATTTCTGAGGGCTTGTGCAAAATAAAACTATACATGTATGTGTATGTAAATATGTGTATATATGTATTCGTGTATATATGTATATGCGCACATACACGTGAATGTATATATGTGTATGTGTGTGCATATATGTGTACATATATATACACACATATACACACTGTACAAAGCTCTGACAAATCAATAAGAAAAAGGGCTATAATCCAATAGGAAAATGGGCAAAGGATATTCAAAGGAAAAAAACACAAATGGCTTTTTTTTTTTCCTTGAGACAGGGTCTCACTCTGTCACCCAGACTGGATTGCAGTGGTGTGATCACAGCTCACTACAACCTTGAACTCCTCAGCCTCCCAAGTAGTTGGGACTACAGGCGCATGACACCACACAGGGCTAACTTTTTCTTTTTTACTTTTGTGGAGACAAGGTCTCACTGTGTTGCTCAAGCTGGTGTTGAACTCCTGGGCTCAAGTCCTCCTGCCTTGACCTCCCAAAGTTCTAGGATTACAGGTGTGAGCCACCACGCCAGTCTAAAAGGCTCTTACATATATGAAAAATGCTCTTTCATCATAATTTAAAAATGTAAATTAAAACTATACTGAGAAAAACAAAAAAACTATACTGAGGGAATAATTTTTCACCTATTAGATTGACAAAGATTATAAAACACTTTTTCTGATAACACATTATACTGGCAGGGTGGAGAAATTGTACTCTCATACTGTTTTCGGGAAAGTAAATTGATACAACTTTTTTTTTTTGAGACAGAGTCTTGCTCTGTGGCCAGGCTGGAGTGCAGTGCTGCGACCTTGGCTAACTGCAAACTCTACCTTCCAGGTTCAAGCGATTCTCCTGCCTCAATCTCCTGAGTAGCTGGGATTACAGGCACATGCCACCATACCCAGCTGATTTTTGTAGTTTTAGTAGAGACAGGGTTTCACCATGTTGGCCAGGCTGGTCTCAAACTCCTGACCTTGGTGATCCATCCGCCTCAGCCTCCCAAAGGGCTGGGATTACAGGCGTGAGCCACCGTGCCTGACTGGCCTGGTATAACTTCTAAGTGGGGAAATTTGCAAGATCTATACAAATTACTATTACACATACAATTTGAAGGTACGGCTATACTTGTACATGTGGAAAATTATGCATGTACAGGCTTACCCACCGTAGCATGGTTCAATCAGCAAAAGATGGAAATGACCTTAATGTTCATCAGTAGAAGACTGGATCCATAAATCACGCCCATGCATTAAATGGAGTTCATGCTATCTCGGCTAAAATAGAAGCCACCAGCCACATGTGGCTGTGGAGTATCTGAAATGTGGCTAATCCCAATTGAGATGTGCTTTAAGTGTAAAATACACACCAGATTTTGAAGACTTGGTACAAAAAAGGAATGTAAAACATACATCGCATTAATTTTTTTTTTTAAGACGGAGTCTCACTCTGTCACCAGGCTGGAGTACAGTGGCGTGATCTCGGCTCACTGCAACCTCCGCCTCCCGGGTTCAAGTGATTCTCCTGTCTCAGCCTCCCGAGTAGCTGGGATTACAGGTGTGCGCCACCATGCCCGGCTTATTTTTTTGTATTTTTGTAGATGCGGGGGTTTCACCATGTGGGCCAGGCTGGTCTCGAACTCCTGACCTCAAGTAATCCACCTGCCTCAGCCTCCCAAAGTGCTGGGATTGCAGGTGTGAGCCACCACGCCTGGCCTCCTTTTAACTTTAAAAAATGTGTTTACCGGCTGGGCATGGTAGCTAATGCCTATAATCCTAGCATTTGGGGAGGCCAAAGGGGGAGGATCACTTGAACGCAGGAGTTCAAAACCAGCCTGGACAGCATAACAAGACTCTGCTTTCTACAAAAAAAAAAAAAAAAATTAGCCAGATATGGTGGTGCCCAGCTATGGTCCCAGCCAGTTGGAGAAGCTGAGGTGAGAGGATTGCTTGATCAAGGTCAAGGCTGCAGTGAGCCGTGATCATGCCAGTGTACTCCAGCCTGGGTGACAGAGCAAGACTGTCTCAAAAAAAAAAAAAAAAAAAGTGTTCACTGGAAAATGTAAAAGTGGCTGGGCATGGTGGCTCACACCTGTAATCCTAGCACTTTGGAAGGCTGAGGTGGGCGGATCACTTGAGGTCAGGAGTTCGAAACCAGCCTGGCCACATGGTAAAACCCTGTCTCTACTAAAAATACAAAAAAATTAGCAGGGGCGTGGTGGTGGGCATCTGTAATCCCAGCTACTCAGGAGGCTGAGGCAGGAGAATCACTTGAACCTGGGAGGCAGAGGTTGCAGTGAGCTGAGATCGCGGCACTGCACTCCAGCCTGAGCAACAGATGGAGACTCTGACTAAAAAAAAAAAAAATGAAAAAAAGAAAAATGTAAAAATATGTGTGTAACCCTCTTTAAATTTCATTGGACAGTAGTGGCTCTGGATAAAAAAATGAAGTGAAAAAAGCAAGGTGCATAAGAGTGTATAGTAGACTACCATTTGTGCTTTAAAGAAAGGAAAAAAGCTCTGTCTCTGATACTTGCTTGTTTATACATAACCCATCTCTGGAGTGATGCACTAGAAACAATACTGGCTGCTTCTGGAGAGAGAAACTGTAGTAGAGAAAAGAGCTGAAATTTGAATCCTGATCTTTTTGTAAAATTTTTATTTTTATTTTTCATTTATTTTTTTGAGACAAGGTCTTGCTCTGTTGCTCAAGCTGAAGTGCAGTGGTACAACCTTGGCTCACTGCAGCCTTCACCTCCTGGGCTTATTGATCCTCCTGCCTCAGCCCTGAGTAAGTAGGATCACAGGTTCATACCACCATGCCTGGCCAATTTTTAAATTTTTGCAGAGATGGGAGCTTGGTGTGTTTGCCCAGGCTGGTCTCGAACTCCTGGGCTCAACTGATCCTTCTGCCTTGGCCTCCCAACGTGCTGGGATTACAGACATGAGCCACTGCACCCTGCCTATTTTTTTTTTTTTTTTTTTTTTTGAGATGGAGTTTCACTCTATCGCCCAGGCTGGAGTGCAGTGGCACAATCTCAGCTCACTGCAACCTCTGTCTCCCAGGTACAAGCAATTCTCCTGCCTCAGCCTCCCGAGTAGCTGGGATTATGGGCACCTGCCACCATGCCCGGCTAATTTTTATATTTCTAGTAGAGACAAGGTTTCACCATGTTGGTGAAACACCCAGTTGCACCCTGCCTATTATTACTTAGTCAAAAATGTTTTTAAAATAGCTTAACATAAAACAAAAATATCCTTGGCCAGGCATGGTCGCTCACATCTGTAATCCCAGCACTTTGGGAGGCCAAAGTGGGTGGATCACCTGTGGTCAGGAGTTCGAGACCACCCCGGCCAACATGGCGAAACCCTGTCTCTACTAAAAATACAAAAATTAGCTGGGTGTGGTGGCAGGGGCCTGTAATCCCAGCTACTGGGGAGGCTTAGGCAGGAGAATCACTTGAACCTGGGAGTTGGAGGTTGAGGTGAGCCGAGATTGTGCCACTGCACTCCAGCCTGGGCAACAACAGCAAGACTCCATCTCCAAAAAAAAAAAAAAAAGAAAAAGAAAAGCAAGGAAAATACCCATAGAGAAACTAGAAAAATAAACACGTATATATGCACATAAAAAGATGAAAATGGGCTGGGTACGGTGGCTTGCACCTGTAATCCCAGCACTTTGGGAGGCTAAGGCAGGAGGATTTGAGCCCAGGAGTTTGAGACCAGTCTGGGCAACATAGGGAGACCCTGTTTCTATTAAAAAAAAAAAAAATTTATCTGGGCATGGTGGCGTGTGCCTGTTGTCCCAGCTCCTCGGGAGGCTGAGGTGGCAGGATCACTCGAGCTCGGAGTTTGAGGCTGCAGTGAGCTATGATCCCACCATCTCACCCCAGCAGCAACAGAGTGAAACCCTGTGTCAAAAAAAGAAAAGAAAAGAAAAGAAAGATGAAAATGCACAGCAAAAGGACTGGCAGGTTTAGTGAGGAGAATGTGTTGGGTGTGGAACAAGGACTTGCTTACCTACTCTTTTTTTTTCTTTTTTTAAGACAGGATCTCACTCTGTCACCCAGGCTGGAGTGTAGTGGTGCAACAGTGCCATCATAGCTCACTGCAGCTTCTACCTTGTGGACTCAAGCAATCCTCTGGCCCCAGCCTTCCGAGTAGCTGGGACTATAGGCATGCACTACCACGCCTGGCCATTTTATTCTGTATTATTTCAATCTTTTGTAAAGAGAATGCTTAACTTGTGTAATTCTAAGAAAAAAGAACTGGATTAGAACAAAATATACTGAGATGTTAACAATAGCTGTCTTTAGATAATGGGATTATAGGTAATTTTTCTTCCCTTTACTTTACTTTAAAAAAATTTCCCAATTATTCTTAAATAACACTCTTACTTTTGTAATGGAAAAGCCAACAAACCTTTTTGTTTTTTCACTACTTTCTTTTTAAAAAACACTTTGAAAGATTCCATTAGCCTTTTAAAAATTTTTAAATTATCTTCATTGGTTTTTAAAATGATAGCAAGTAATGCAGACGTTTTTTATAAAATGTCAAACAGCACAGAGAGAACATAGTGTGGAAAGAAAAGGTATTTCGTAATTCCATCTCCTCCTATGAGATAACCACTATTCTCCAAAACTTTAAAAATACAGCATATTTATATTAAGAATTTAAACATAATTTCAAATTAACTGGAAAGGCTGAGAACTAGAATACACTTTCTTTGTACCAAGCAGAGTTCTAAATGTTTTAAATTTTATCATCTCGTGGAATTTATCCAATGACTCTCTGGGGTAGATGCTATACCCCATTAACCACAAAGTCAGGCTGGGAGGGGTTAAACAATTTGCCCAAGGCCACATTCTAGTAAGGGGCAGGATTGGCATTCAAACCCAAGTCCAAGACACCCGCTAAGCCACAGCCTCAGGCCACTGCCATTCCTGGTGGGTGGGGCGGGTGTGATTAAGATGCAGGAACTGGACTTGAGTTCAAGTGTGGCGGCTCTTCTTCCAGTGCCCCTGGGAAAGGGTGTTTTGTGAAGGATTTTTGCTTTTGGTGATAACTGTGGAGCTGTGATTGAGAGAGGAGAAAATGATAATAGTGGAGCTGGAGCATAATGGATGCATGGGGGCATTTTACAGTGGTTGTCAGGGGAGAGACAGCACGGAGGAGCTGTGGGTGGAATTGGAAAGAAGCAGTTAGCTACAGCACTCCAAAGGGTTAAAGCCAGGCTGGAAAGCCCCTTGGGGGGAAGCTGCCACCAAGGCTGCAATCCTGAGGCCTTCACCTCCCCCATCAGCAGGGGCTGGACTGGTTCCTCCTGGGATTATTTGAGGCCCCTGGGCCCTAGGTGAGCCATGGGGGAGGGACCGAAGCTGCAGGTACTGCGTGCCCCCACCTTTCAGTGGGGCTCAGTAAGTTAGGTGCCCTGGGATAGGCCCCCTGGCTCCTAACAGATGCAGCTCTGGCCCAGGCTTGCTTTGGGAATGAGAGGTGTTGAGCCCCAAGCCTGGGGGATGCTCAGAGAATGGTGGAGATGCAGCCTTTAGAGAAAGTGGGGCCTTCCTGGATGGGAAGGGAGACTGCCCCATGATGGGGCCGTGAGTAGCTCTCCAGTCTGCCTGGTTCTGCCTGTCTTACAGGACTGGGGTTGGTGAGAGCTGCCTCACAAAGAGATGCATTTTGAGGGTTCAGAGAGCCTCAAGGTATTTCTCTTAAGCAATTATCCATAGCTAGTTTCTGGGCCCCAGCTTTGCTCTCTTCCACCTCCTCTGCAAGCCTGGCCACAGACTTTCTTCCCCTAGGTCTTTCGATCTGAACCTTCTCCTCCCATTCCCTCCCCTCCCCCCAAACTCTTTGGAAATCTTTCAACTTTCTTTCAACTTTTCTCTGGGCAGTTTGGGGTTTGTTTCAGAGCTGGGTCAGGGCACTTTAACACCCCCAGCTGGGGAGAGTGGATGACAATAGCTGCTATCACTTTACCATTGGAAGTGACCCCCGAATTTGCACTTCTTTCATCTTGGTACAGAGCACTTGAGGGTGGGCGATTTCCTGGGGGGAGTGGCTTAAGCCGCTTCCCCACCGGCCAGTTGGCTGTAGACGGTCCATGCTCAATGGTCCTCTACAGATATGAAACTGGTTCTGGAGTGAGACGAGCTCGGCTGGGGACGCTACTTGAGAAGGCCTTTCCCCACAGGGTGACTTAAATGTCCCAGGCTGGAAGGTGGAGCGAGAAGTGGATGCCCCCAGGGCTCTGGGTCACACTCCAGGTCAGTAAAACAGCGAGTTTCCTCAAAACTAGGAAGGGTGGGGGTGCCCCGTACAGTTTGGAGGCTCCAGCGGGGTCAGGGATGATCTCGGGACCCTACTGGGCCCAGGTCAAGGAGTGGCCCCGTGAAGATGCTGTGGTGTATGTGTGTCTGGGAGTGTATGTAGAGGGAGAGGACGCATTGTTTCAAGCTCTCTTTCTCCCCACCCCCACCTCCACCTCCAGCCCTGTCCCCACCCCCACCCGTCTGCCTATCTCCCTTCCCCACCCTACACAATGGTCTGGCCTCGGTCCCTCCCCAGGTTCCCCGGGCTTCTCAGGTTGGATCCCTCGTCCCTGGAGCCCCGGACCTGCCAGCTCCCTCTTTTGCCACTCATTGCCTCCTGGCACCTTAAGGGGCAACCGGGAGCCTGTGCTGCTTCCCCTTGTGGGCTGCACTCTTCCTCCCTTCCAAACACGTGGTCCAGTAGAGCAACTGAACTGGGCTGGATTGACTTGGTGGCCTCAGGCCCACCCCTGTGACCCAAGGTGCAGCCACTACCCTTGGTGGTGGGAATTTCCTTGGGAAGTCACAGCCCAAAGGCTTGGCTGCCACCAGCCAACCCTGGCAGCTGCCCTTGCCCAGCTGGCCTCCAGGGCCACCGGGGAGGGAGCAAAGATGGCTGGCGCTCCCTTAGGCCCTGGCAGGCGCAGCCTGTGCAGTCGGGCTGGTGTGGCCAGGGCAGGGAGGGCAGGGCAGAGAGGCACGGCGCAAGGCTGGGTGAGGAGCCAGCCATCCAGGGGAGAATCGAACCCACAGCCTTACTGAGACCTGGTGGCCCATGTGCAGGTTGACTATAGAGAACACAGCGCCTGCTTTGGGAGGGAGAGGAAGAAAAGGGAGGGCTGAGAACATGGGATCCATGGTAAGCTAGAGCCCAGAATGAGGCTGGTGGGGAAGGATTTTGTTCTAAAGACCAGGCCAGGCTCATAACAGCAGATCTCTTGCCCCTCCATCCCTTGGCCCACCCAGATTCCTGGCTCACTCTTAAGACGCAGGGGACAAGAGGCCAGACCTGGGTTCTGAGACCCCATATGCTTGAAATAAAGAATGGGGGAGCGGGGAGGCTGACCTTGGTGAAGGCGAGGCTGTGAGTGCCCTGCAGAGTAGCCTGTGGCCATTCATTCATTCCTTGGCTTTACTGGAGCTAAGATCCTGGCTGGATGCCTCTGGATGTCCTGCCTTTACCCCCGCCCTTCTAATCTCAGGCAAGAGGAGGGGATGAGCCTGTGCAATCCCGAGTGTGCCTTGCCTCCTTGGTTTCATACCTTTTCAGATCACTTCCAAGAGTTGTGGGGGCCAGGGCAGGCCAGCTGGGCAAAGTCCATAGATTAGCTATCACTTTTTGCACCTCCTTCCCTGAATGCACCTGGCAACCGGCTTGTCTGCTTTGCATTGCACTTCTAGGAAGAGAGCCATTGCCAAAAAGACTGTTGCACCTGAACCCCATCATCAATTGTCTACTTAAGAGTGATAGGCTTCCCCGTGCAGCCCCTACCCTTTCCACACGGCCCTATTCTCTGGTGGGCGAATCCATCTGTGGGTTGGGAGTGAGTGTGGAGCTGCTTTTCCTTAAGCTTTTGAGGAAGCCAGAAGTGGGGTATCACATACTTGTACCTCCTACCTCTTTGGGGAAGAGAAAGGAATGAAATTGGGTGGAGCCGGGTGGAACTGGGCCTGGGAAGAGTAGATAGGGTGGGACGAGGAGGGTGGGGACAGGTGGGGACTGTGCAAGAGGAAGTGTGGCATATCTGGACGTTGTGTTGGAAGGTATCTGGACACTGCTGCATGAATTCAGGCAAGTCGACTCTACCTTTGTGGACCTCAATTTCCTTATCTGTAAAATGGCCAGGTTTGTCTTAAAGTCCTAAAAATCCATAAGTTTCTGGATCCATTGGATAATGAGAATTTTGGATGATGGAATTATAGTGCTTAGAAAGGGAGCTTGAGAGTCAGGCTGCTTAGACTTTGTAGCTTTTAAAAGCTGTGTGGTCTTGCGAAAGCTACTTAATGTAAACCCGGAACCTCCAGGTGTGAACTCGGACTAGGGATCCTGTAGATAGCGTAGGTGTGATGGAATTGTAGTTCACATGGAAGGAAGGTGAGAACCACATATAAACAAAATTACCACTGAAAAGCCTGAACTCCAAATGCTTGAGGGTGAAAAGCTGGCAGATACTTGTTAACACTTCAGGGAACATCATGCTCTCCTCAGGAAATCGGCTAATTGCGTGTAAGGGTATAAAAATATCCACACAGCTTCAGTATATTGTTCCCTCTTGTTTTTCCTGAGATTTTGGTTGAATTACCTAGTTAAATGCACATAGGAAGCAGTCAGTAAATGGTAGCTATTTTCCTAATTTTGTTTACAAAGTATCTAGCAGAGCACTCATTTGTATGCAGTTGTAAAATAGCATTCAACAAGTGACATAATGCAAGAAAAACAAAAACCCAACGTCTTGCTTGTTGACATCATTGTCTGCCAAAATGAAAAAGCTTGTCTGTGTGTACACAGTTTGTTCTTCAGGATTCCTTTTTTAAAAATTGTATAATGTTAAGTGCTGTCTTTACTAAGGACTGATATGGATTATCTCCTGAATCCAAAGAAAAGTAATAGTTTTCTTTTTAAAGTAAATATAAAAGGCATAAAAGTTGACAGATTAATAAAAGCCAACTTCTAGAGTTAAATGATATGGTACAAATAGAAATATGGTGAGAGGTTATACCAGATTTGTTATAATATACACATTTTAAAGAAATCCACAGCCTAGAAATTTTGTCCAAAGGTGATTCTGATTACCAGGTTTTTTTTTTTTTTTTTTTTTTTTTAAGACAGTCTCACTCTGACACCCGGGCTGGAGTGCAGTGGCATAATCTCAGTCCCCTGAGGCTCAGGTTATCCACCTCAGCCTCCTGAGTAGCTGGGACTACAGGCACATGCTACTATGCAGGCTAATTTTTTTTTTTCCGTAGAGATGGGGTTATGTTATGTTGTCCAGGCTGGTCTCTAACTCCTAGGGCTCAAGCTATCTGCCCACTTCAGCCTCCCAAAGTTCTGGGATTACAGGCATGAGCCACTGCACTTGGGCTGATTACCAATTTTTAAACGACTTTCCTTCTTTGGTTATCAAGTAAAATTCTGGTGGCTGTTCCCTCAGTACTTTTTTTTTTGAGACGGAGTCTCGCTCTGTTTCCAGGCTAGAGTACAGTGGTGCGATCTTGGCTCACTGCAACCTCCGTCTCTTGGGTTCAAGTGATTCTCCTGCCTCAGCCTCCCGAGTAGCTGGGACTACAGGCGCGGGCCACCATGCCCAGCTAATTATTTTTTTTTTGTATTTTTAGTAGACACAGGGTTTCACCATGTTGTCCAGGATGGTCTTGATCTCTTGACCTTGTGATCCGCCTGCCTCGTCCTCCCAAAGTGCTGGGATTACAGGCCTGAGCCACCACCATGCCCGGCCTCAGTACTTTTAATTTTTTTTATTTATGTTTTATTTTTTATTTTTGAGATGGAGTCTCACTCTGTCACCCAGGCTGGAGTGCGGTGGGCGATCTCGGCTCACTGCAACCTCTGCTGCCCAGGTTCAACCAATTCTTCTGCCTCGGCCTCCCGAGTAGCTGGGATAACAGGCACCTGCCACTGCACCTGGCTAATTTTTGCATTTTTAGTAGAGATGGGGTTTCACCATCTTGGCCAGGCTGGTCATGAACTCCTGATCTCGTGATCCACCTGCCTCAGCCTCCCAAAGTGCTGGGATTACAGGTGTGAGCCACTGCGCCCCAGCCCTACTTTTAATTTTTTAAAACATTTTTACTAAATTACAATTTGCATTCATCCACTCCTTTCAAATGTAGCTTTTTTGTTTTGTTTTGCTTTTTGGGGACAGTCTCCTCTGTTGCTCAGGCTGAAGTCCGGTGGCGTGATCATAGCTCACTGTAACCTCGAACTATGCTCAAGTAATCTTCCTGCCTCAGCCTCCCAAAGTGCTGGGATTATAGGCGTGTGCCACCACGCCTGGCCTTAAGCGTACAGTTTGATCTGAAAAATGTATATACCCAAACACCATTTTTAAACCTAAGGGTCATCTAAAGCAATTTATTGAACTCTGAGAACAAGTTTAATTTGAGAACATGATCTGAGAAACCAGAAAGGATAATGGTCCCTCCCCTAATGTAAAAAGTGTCTATGAAGGAATACCACTCTGCTTTGCAACTGAACAATAAAAACATACCAATAATTGAGATGATTAGTTTTGTGTTAAAAGGTGGTTAATGGTTTGAACAGGAGATGAATCACAGACCCTAAAGAGCATCTGGGGCCAGGCATGGTGGCTCACGCCTGTAATCCCAGCACTTTGGGAGGCCAAGGTGGGTGGATCACCTGAGGTCAGGAGTTTGAGACCATGAGACCACCCTGTCGGACATGGTGAAACCCCATCTCTACAACATAAGCTGGGCGTGGTGGCATGTGCCTACAGTCCTAGTTACTCTGGAGGTTGAGGCAGGAGAATCGCTTGAACCCTGGGGGCGGAGGTTGTAGTGAGCAAAGAATGAGCCACTGTACCCCAGCCTGGGTGATAGAGTGAGATTCTGTCTCAAAAAAAAAGAAAAAAAGTGTTTGGTTTCAACTAACTTGTATTGTGACCTTGGGCAAATTAGGTTAACTTCAGTTGCCTCAGTTTCCTCACCTGTAAATTGGGGATAATGGTAGTACTTAAAGTATTAGTGTCAGGATTAGGACAGTGCATGGCAAATAGTAAATGCTCAGTAAATCATAGTTATTAGATCTTTGTGCAGTGAATAGATTGTTGCTACCCCTTTGAAAGGCTGTTTCTGGGGCAGCACTTCTCAAACTTTTTGGTTTCAGGACTCCTGTACGGTCTGCAGACCCTGAAAACCTTTTGTTTATATAGGTTATATCTACCAGTGTATATTGTACACAAAATTAAAAATAAGAAATAAATTTTAAAAAGCCTGTTATACAGTAACAAATAATCATTTTTATGAGAAGTGACATTTCCAGAGCAAAAAAACTACTTTTTTTTTTTTGAGATGGAGTCTCACTCTGTCGTCCAGGCTGGACTGCAGTGGCGTGATCTTGGCTCACTGTAAGCTCCGCCTCCCGGGTTCACGCCATTCTCCTGCCTCAGCCTCCCGAGTAGCTGGGACTAGAGGCGCCCGCCAGCGTGCCCGGCTAATTTTTTGTATTTTTAGTGGAGACGGGCTTTCACCATGCTAGCCAGGATGGATTTTTGTATTTTTAGTAGAGACAGAGTTTCACCATGTTAGCCAGGCTGGTCTTGAACTCCCGACCTCAAGTGATCTGCCTGCCTCGGCCTATCTTCTTTTAAACCAGATACTATGGAGACTTGGAAAAATGTTAAATAATGTCCGAGAGCACATTATTCTACATTTTTACATTTTACATTTTTCTGTATCTCCATAGTATTTGGTTTAAAAGAAGATGAGTACTTTCTCATATCTTTCTATATTCAATCTGTTTTGATATATTGTTTTGGTGGAAGCATCTGAAGAAAATCTAACTTCATCAGATATATAGATGGAAAAAGGAGGAGTATTTTGATCACTTTTTCAGTGGATTTTTTTGATATTATACCAAAACTTTACAAGTAGTAGCTTCTCAAAGCTTAGTTATAATGTGGAATTTGAAACCATATCCATGAACTTTTTGTACCCTGTTATATTAAAATCCATGGGTCTTTTTTTTTTTTGAGATGGAGTCTCGCTCTGTCCCCAGGGTGGAGTGCAGTGATGCAATCTTGGCTCACTGCAGCCTCTGCCTCCCGGGTTCAAGCAATTCTCCTGCCTCAGCCTCCTGAGTAGCTGGGACCACAGGCATGTGCTGCCACTCCTGGCTAATTTTTGTATTTTTAGTAGAGACGGGGTTTCACCACATTGGCCAGGATGGTCTCGATCTCCTGAGCTCGTGGTCCGCCCGTGTCGGCCTCCCAAAGTGCTGGGATTACAGGTGTGAGCCACCACACCCAGCCCCATGGGTTTCTTTTATACTTTGAATGATTCTTCTACAAGTGCATGACTTTGTAACAGCACCCATTGGCTATTTGGAAAATGTTCACTGAGTGATGTAGATCTTTAGTGGAAACAATTGACAATTCATTATACAGCATAAAAAATTATATTTGTTAGGGCTGGGCGTGACGGCTCACACCTGTAATCCCAGCACTTTGGGAACCTGAGGCGGGCAGATCATTTGAGGTCAGGAGTTTGAGACCAGCCTGGCCAACATGGTGAAACCCCGTCTCTACTAAAATTACAAAAATTAGCTGGGCATGGTGGCATGCGCCTGTAATCCCAGCTACTCGGGTGGCTGAGGCAGGCAAATCTCTTGAACCCGGGAGGTAGAGGTTGCAGCCAGTTGAGATTGCGCCCCTGCACTCCAGCCTGGGTGACAGAACGAGACTCAGTCTCAAAAAAAAAAAAAAAAAAAATTGTCACCACTGATCTCATCAGAAAAATTGAGATTTTCAGATGGAAGCTGATAAGTTTTTATGGGCAGCAAATAGTTGTTTCCCTTGAAATTACAGTCTCACTTCATTCATTTTTGAGAAAATATCTGCCAAATATATCCAAATCTGAATGACCAGTGTCTATTAGACTTTCTTTCAAGTAAAAATTGTATATCATGCTAAAGGGAGCTAATTTATCAGAAAAGCAGAACAATCATCCAATGGAGACATTCATCATACCTCGGGTTGCAGCAAGCGTGTTATAAGTATGCCCCATTTGATTACACCCAGTATTGAAAACGACATGTACTTAAGGATAACGGTTTTCTTTCTTTTCTTTAAAAAAAAAATAGCATCATTTATTTATTTATTTGAGACAGAGTCTCGGTCTGTCACCCATGCTTGAGCACAGTGGCATGATCTCTACTCAGTGCGGCCTCCACCTCCCAAGTTCAAGTGATTCTCGTGCCTCAGCCTCCTGAGTAGCTGAGATTACAGGTGCATTCCACCATGCCTGGCTAACTTTTTTTTTTGTATTTTTAGTAGCAATGGGGTTTCACTATGTTGGCCAGGCTGGCCTCAAACTCCTGACCTTAAGTGATCTGCCTGCCTCAGCCTCCCAAAGTGCATGAGCCACTGCACCTGGCCTCTCTCTTTTTTTTTTTTTCTGAGACAGAGTCTCATTCCTGTCACCCTGGCTGGAGTGCAGTGGTGCGAGCATTGCTCACTGCAGCCTCGGATTCCCAGGCTCAGATGATCCTCCTGCCTCAGCCTCCCAAGTAGCCGGGACTATAGGCACATGCCACTGTGCCCAGCTAATTTTTGTATTTTTTGTAGAGATGGGGTTTTGCCATGTTGCTCAGGCTGGTCTTGAACTCCTGGACTCAAGCAGTCCACCCACCTCAGCCTCCCAAAGTGCTAAGATTACAGGCATGAGCCACCACGCCCAGCCAACATCTCTTTATTGTCTCATTTATGCCCAGAACAACTCAAGCATATTTTATTAATTTTTTTTTCCCTTTTGGAGACAGTCTCACTTTGTTGCCCAGGCTGGAGTGCAGTGGCTCTAACTCAGCTCACTGCAACCTCTGCCTCCTGGGTTTAAGTGATTCTTCTGCCCTAGCCTCCAGAGTAGCTGGGATTACAGGCTCTTGCCACTATGCCTGGCAAATTTTTGTATTTTTAGTAGAGATGGGGTTTCACCATGTTGGCCAGGCTGGTCTCGAACTCCTGCCCTCAAGTGATTCATCTGCCTTGGCCTCCCAAAGTGCTAGGATTACAGGTGTAAGCCACCGTGCCTGGCCTATAAAGCAGATTTTAACACACCATTCCCATTTTATAGAAAATGAACAGAAGCATAGAGAGGTTAAGTGATCCAAGGTGACCAAGCTTATGTCAGAGCCAGGATTCAAAGCCAGGTTCTAGAGACCACACTTTTCCTCAGTACCATTCAGTGATGAACCAATCCCGTCTGTTGTGGGAGGACGGGAGCAGATAGACATTACCTTTTGGGAGAAAGTGCAGGAGTGGACAGGGCACCTTTGCTAGTCATCATCTGGGCACTTCGACCTGACTACTGCCCCTTTATCTTTTGCCCTGGCAGGATGACTTCTCGGAACCAGCTGGTGCAGAAGGTGCTGCAGGAGCTGCAGGAAGCAGTGGAGTGCGAAGGCCTGGAGGGTCTCATAGGTGCTTCCTTGGAGGCCAAGCAGGTCCTGTCTTCCTTCACTCTCCCCACCTGCCGGGAGGGAGGCCCTGGCCTCCAGGTGCTGGAAGTGGACTCGGTGGCCCTGAGCCTGTATCCAGAAGATGCTCCACGGAACATGCTGCCGCTGGTGTGCAAGGGGGAGGGCAGCCTGCTGTTCGAGGCGGCCAGCATGCTGCTGTGGGGTGACGCAGGCCTCAGCCTGGAGCTGCGGGCCCGCACCGTGGTAGAGATGCTGCTGCACAGACACTACTACCTCCAGGGCATGATCGACTCCAAAGTGATGCTGCAGGCCGTGCGCTACTCCCTATGCTCTGAGGAGTCCCCTGAGATGACCAGCTTGCCCCCCGCCACGCTGGAGGCCATCTTCGATGCCGACGTCAAGGCCTCCTGTTTCCCCAGCAGCTTCTCCAACGTGTGGCACTTGTATGCTCTCGCCTCTGTCCTCCAGCGGAACATCTACTCCATCTACCCCATGCGCAACCTCAAGATCCGGCCCTACTTCAACCGTGTCATCCGGCCCCGCCGCTGCGACCACGTGCCCTCCACGCTGCACATCATGTGGGCTGGCCAGCCCCTCACCAGCCACTTCTTCCGCCACCAGTACTTTGCCCCTGTGGTGGGGCTGGAAGAGGTGGAGGCTGAAGGTGCCCCTGGCGTGGCCCCAGCTCTTCCAGCCCTGGCCCCACTCTCATCGCCGGCCAAGACCCTGGAGCTGCTCAACCGTGAACCTGGCCTCAGCTACTCTCACCTCTGTGAGCGCTACAGCGTCACCAAAAGCACCTTCTACCGCTGGCGGCGGCAGTCCCAGGAGCACCGGCAGAAGGTTGCTGCCCGCTTCTCCGCCAAGCACTTCCTGCAGGACAGCTTCCACCGGGGGGGCGTCGTGCCACTTCAGCAGTTCCTCCAGCGGTTCCCGGAGATCTCCCGCTCAACCTACTATGCCTGGAAGCATGAGCTGCTGGGCTCTGGCACCTGCCCGGCCTTGCCCCCCAGGGAGGTGCTGGGCATGGAGGAGCTAGAGAAGCTGCCGGAGGAGCAGGTGGCTGAGGAGGAGCTGGAGTGCTCCGCACTGGCGGTGTCAAGCCCTGGAATGGTCTTAATGCAGCGGGCCAAGTTGTACCTGGAGCATTGCATCTCCCTGAACACACTGGTACCCTATCGCTGCTTCAAACGCAGGTTCCCTGGCATCTCACGGTCCACTTATTATAATTGGCGGCGAAAGGCCCTCCGGAGGAACCCCAGCTTCAAGCCGGCACCAGCCCTCTCTGCTGCTGGGACTCCCCAGCTAGCATCTGTTGGGGAAGGGGCTGTAATTCCTTGGAAGAGTGAGGCGGAAGAGGGGGCAGGGAATGCCACAGGTGAGGACCCTCCCGCCCCCGGGGAGCTCCTGCCACTAAGGATGCCCCTGTCCCGTTGGCAGAGGCGTCTGCGCAGGGCTGCCCGCAGGCAGGTGCTGAGTGGGCATCTCCCTTTCTGCCGCTTCCGCCTCCGCTACCCCAGCCTGTCACCTTCTGCCTTTTGGGTCTGGAAGAGTCTTGCTCGGGGTTGGCCCAGAGGCCTGTCCAAACTTCAGGTGCCGGTCCCCACCTTGGGCAAAGGGGGGCAGGAGGCTGAGGAGAAGCAGGAGAAGGAGGCTGGCAGGGATGTGACAGCTGTGATGGCCCCACCTGTGGGGGCTTCTTCAGAAGATGTAGAGGGAGGGCCTTCCAGAGAGGGGGCCCTGCAGGAGGGGGCCACAGCCCAGGGCCAGCCCCACAGTGGGCCCTTGCTGAGCCAACCTGTGGTGGCAGCAGCGGGTGGCAGGGATGGCCGGATGCTGGTGATGGACATGATCGCTACCACGAAGTTCAAGGCCCAGGCCAAGCTGTTCTTGCAGAAGCGCTTCCAGTCCAAGAGCTTTCCCTCCTACAAGGAGTTCAGTGCCCTCTTTCCCCTCACTGCCCGCTCCACATACTACATGTGGAAGCGAGCCCTCTATGACGGCCTGACCCTGGTAGATGGCTGACAGGGAGGTACAAAAGGGGCTGGGAAGAAGGGGGACCAGTTTGGAGAGGGTCAGGGACCTGAGCTGACCCCAGGCTTGGCCAGGATGTCCTTTGCTCTGGGTCCCACAGTGTCTACCCTAAGTCCAAGGGTATATTTGTGTTATTTTCTGGCTCCAGGACAGAGAATGCCAGAAATCAGCCATCTGGTCTCCCGTAGGAAACTGTGGGACCAGAGATATCCTCTTTCGTTGTTTGCTGGTCATATTTTTACTGTTATGATTTAGTTTTTGGTTTTGATTTGAGTGGGTTGGTTGGCCCCCTTGCTGGAGTTGGAAGCCGTATGTATGTCAGGGGGTTTAGAGGGGGGTTGGTTAGCTAGAGCTGCTTTCAGCTTTTCCTGGAGACAAAAGGAGTGTTATAGCATGATCATCGGTCCCACTGGGCAGAACGTTATCTTCAGTTTCTTTTGGGGGTTGGCATCCTCTTTACTCAGTTGTTTCCCAAAGGAACATTAGGCTCGAATATGGGGGCCAGGTGTGGTGGCTTATGCCTGTAATCCTAGCGCTTTGGGAGGCCAAGGCAGGAGGATCACTTGAGGCTAGGAGTTAGAGACCACCCTGGGCAATGTAGTGAGACCTCATCTCTTAGAAAAAAAAAAAGAAAGAAAATCAAATGTAGAGCTGATCAGCAGCTTGTGCCTGGCATCCCCAAGGGAGAAGGTGCCAGGTCAGCAGGAGCAGCAGCAGGGATGTATAGAAAGAACCACAGCTGGCCTCTAAAGGATGGCACTGAGGCACCGGAGATCTTGAGGCACTGGAGATCACTGAGGGGCTGGCCTGTCCCCTGCAAGGAGTGTGGGACCAGGTGGGGCAAGGCTGGGAGATGCAGGCTCTGTTTGCAGATTATGGCCCAGAGTCTCTGCTTGTGGGTGCTTGATCCACCTGCTGGGACCCTGCAGTCCTCGGCCAGCCTGGCTGTCAGTTGGGGATTCCACCTTTCTGCTGAGCGTCTTCTCGGAGCTGGAGGCCCATCTTCAGTGAGAGATCACAAAGCGGCCAGGCAGGTGGGAGACTGAATTTGCCTTGTTCGAGAGTAACGTTTGAAAACCAAAGAAATAAAGTGATGCAGTGCCCACAGTGCTTGGTCTCTGGTATTTGTTTTGCCAGGATGTGATTGCCCATTCCCATGCTCCCCTTTGGCTTAAGGGGACAAGAGTGACCTTCTCTTTCTCGATGGGATGCACTCAGGTCTAGAGCTTGGGGGATGAAAAGAGTTATTCTGGGGACTCTGAATTGGATCTAGAAGTGACCTTGGGTGCTTTTCCAGCTGAAGGGTGGGGCTCTGGCTACCTGGAAATGCCCTCCCTCCCATGGGAGAAACCTGGCGTTCCCAGGTGGGGAAGGGGTTGCTGCCACCACAGGTTGGCTCGACAGGGGCCCACTGTGAGGCTGGCCCTGGGCCATGGAGGCCAGGCCAGCACCTGGAGTCAAGTCTGTGCCAGACATTCTATTTAGTCCTTGCAATGTGCTCGGGCAGGTAGGCCCAGTCCTGTGACTGGGACACTCTAAGGACACAGCCTTAGAGTGGCTAATTTGCATGCTCCCTCTGTCTGGTGGGACAAGGGTGAGGGCAGCCTGCTGTAATGAGCAGCAGCAGGGATGTAATGGGAGCTTTAAGCCCAGGCCTTTGCCTGTTTGGTGAGGGAGGAATCATTAGGGAAGAAGTTCCCGTAGGCCCTTCTTCTGTCTGGGTTTCCTGCAGTGGCTGGCATCCTTGTGCTCCTGGGGAGTCATTCTTGCCTCTGCTTTTTATTCACCCCACATCCAATCCATCAGCAAGTCCTATTGACGCTGACTCCAAATGATACCCAGAACCCTCTCTCCACTCTACTGCCATTGTCTCTCCTGGCCCACATCACAGCTTCCTACCCCATCTCCCTGCTTCCCTGCTTCCACTCTTGCCCCTATACCCCTATACAACCCATTATTTTTATGATTTTTTGAGACAGAGTCTCGCTCTGTTGCCCAGGCTGGGGTGCAGTGATGTGATCTTGGCTCACTGCAACCTCCACCTCCCAGGTTCAAGCAATTCTTTGCCTCAGCCTCCCAAGTAGCTGGGATTACAGGCACCTGCCATGATGCCTGGCTAATTTTTGTATTTTTGGTAGAGATGGGGTTTCACCACCTTGGCCAGGCTGGTCTTGAACTCCTGATCTCGTGATTCACCCACCTCGGCGTCCCAAAGTGCTGCAACCCATTATTTTTATTTATTTATTTTTTGAGTCAGAGTCTCTCTCTCTCACCTAGGGTGGAATGCAGTGGCACAATCTCAGCTCACTGCATCCTCCACCTCCTGAGTTCAAGCAATTCTCATGCCTCAGCCACCCATGTAGGTGGTATTATAGGCACGTGCCACCATGCCTGGCTAACTTTAGCCTTTTTAGTAGAGACGGGGTTTCACTATGTTGGCCAGACTGGTCTCGAACTCCTGACTTCAAGAGATCTGCCTGCCTCGGCCTCTCAAAGTGCTGGGATTATAGACGTGAGCCACCATGCCTGGCCCCTATACAACCCATTCTCCATAGAGCAGTGAGAGAGTTTATGAAATCGGATTTTCACTTTCCTGCCTAAAATGTGTCCGTGGCTTCCCTTTACTCCTAGAATTCCTTGTGCTGCTTTACAAAGCCCAGACAATCTGTCCCTGACTCTGCCTCTTGCTCCATGCTGGCCCTAACCCACCACGCTACAACCATACCAGCTGCCTCTGGTCTTGAACACTTGTTTCTGCTCTAAAGGCCCTTGCATTTGCTGCTATGGTCTAGAATGCTTTTCCCTGTCATATTTACATGGCAGACTTCTTACCATTCAGATCTCTGAGGGTCACCATCACACCACAGTTTTCATTCTCATGGTGTTTACTCCCATCTGATGTTTCTCTTGTTTATTTGTTTATTTGATTATTGCCTACCTCCCCAGCAGAATGTAAGCTCCATGAAAATCTGGGCTTTTCCCTGACTTGCTCACACCACTGTGTTCCCAGCAGGTAGATTCGTTCCTGGCATCATAGGTGCTAAAATGTGTTGAAAGAAGGAATGAGTGAAATGGGGTCTCTATCCCTTTCCTGCTGTTTTCCTTTGGGATTTGGTTTTATCAGACATAATCCCCCTTCCTCCATATTTCTTGTGGACCATTTTTCTGCATCCCCACAGCTACCCCCTAATCTATACCAGCATCTGTTCCTCATCTTTGATACTGGAACAGTTTTCAAACTGACTCTGCCTCCACTCAAACTATCCTAGTTCTTCCTGACAGGCCAGAATGATCCTACTGAAAGTCTGACTCACTGCTGGATTTCCCGTTGGCCCTCAGTACAAAATCCTAACTGTTTTGAGGCCCACCTGATTCTGGCCCCTACTTTCCTCTCCGGCTTATTTCTCCCCACCAACCCTCATTCAGACTGACCTTTCCCCCTGCATTCTTTTCTCCCTCCCACAAGTGGCATTGTTGAGGCTCTGTACTGAGCCCTGGAGTCTTCACTGAAGCCCCACCACCAATGTAACCATTTGACATTTGATGGAGGGGTTGGACTGGGAATGTTACCATCTGGCCTGCAATAGCCACATATAGCCAGCAGATGGCAATCGGGTGCAGCAACAGACAAAGTCTCTCTCTGGGTTCCCAATCCGCACGCGGCTCTGATTTCCCAACCCCCGGTGTATCCGCCTTACTGCTTTGGCCATCCAGGGTGGTAGCAACTTCCTGAGAACTACCCTTATCGGGGTTCTGGATTCTCCTATTTGCTCTTTTGCCTGAACTCTCAAACCAGAGCAAATCCTCTGATGCCTGGAGGAGTATCTCACAGCGGGGTCTAAAAACCACCTGGATCGCAGTCTCCGTGGGAACTTATTAGGAGCGTGAATTCCAGTGCCCCATTCACACCTGCTGACTCCAACCTGAGACATTGGAGAGGTAGTATATGCACACGGATGAGTTACATAACCTTGCTGTGCCTCACTTTTTCCATCTGTAAGATGGGATTACAGTAATGCCTATAGGATAGTATCCTGCACATAGTGTTAGATAAGCCCAGTTTCAGAACCTCTGGGAGTCTGATTCCTGTTTTCTAGGAGGAAGTCAATACCCATGGATACTGTCGTTCAAGGTTACCCTCTAGGTTAAAGACACTCCTGTCCCAGGACTGAAAGGTGTTTTTGCCAGAGGCTAGCCCTGAGCCCTGAACTCACAGGCAGAAATTTTAGCTTCTGTTGGAAGAAATTAAGATAAAAAATGGTATATCAATATTTATAGATTTGGAAAAGGTTTCATAAGTATGGATAAGTTATTCTTGTGTAGAAAAGCTGTTTCCTTTCTAATCTGCTTAGAAAGGCAGGGATACCAAGTGGTGACCGTATTTGCTAAGAATACTTCATGCTGATTTTTGAAATCAACATCTGTTGAACTTATTTGTATTTTTCTTCACCATTTTCTATCTCTGATGCAGTGTAGAAAGTCCAGTGAAATGAACAATGTGTGAATAAAGGAAGAAAAAAATGTGAGGTTAACTTTGCATCTTCTTCCAACATTCTGTGTATTTGTAATGTAACAAGTTCTTCTAACAATTTTTTTTTTTTTTTTTTTTTTGAGACGGAGTTTTGCTCTTGTTGCCCAGGCTGGAGTGCAGTGGCACAGTCTTGGCTCACTGCAACCTCCGCCTCCTGGGTTCAAGCAATTCTCCTGCCTCAGCCTCCTGAGTAGCTGGGATTACAGGTGTGCACCACCATGGCTGGCTAATTTTGTGTTTTTAGTAGAGACAGGTTTTCACCATGTTGGTCAGGCTGGTCTTGAACTCCTGACCTCAGATGATGTTAAGATTTAACAATCTTAAATATAAAAGCTTCACCTCCCCCCACAAAAAAATCCAGTGAAACATTGAATAATTTAAAAAAATTATCTCCACATTTATCCCCTGGAGGAAGAGGATTTTGGTGGAGATCAACATAAGCTGCTCCCCAAATGTTTCTCTGGAGTCCAGCACTCAGGCCCCAGGGCATTGCTGGTGGCTTCTGGGTCCTGAGCAGCCACCTCATATCCCAACTGCCACTCCTGGATGTCCCACCATTGCCTCATTCTCACTGCCTGCCAATCTGGGCTCATCCCCCCCATTACCCTGGGACACACTTCTCTGAGTATCTTTCACCCCAGTTTCTGCAGCATCAGGTTCTTAGTTAAACTGTCCAGAAAGCTAAGAGTTGTCCTAGAACGTTCTCTCTCCCATACCTCTATCCCAGCAGGACCCTAGAAAAATGGCGGGTTTCACAAGGTTGCACACTGCTGGGTAATCACAGGGAAGAGAATTCCATTGGTCCAGCCCATCCCTGTCCCATCCTTTCCCCTGAGCACAGCTTTCATGCCAGGTCACACCTGAGGCTACTGGACAAGTTTTGGCCAAGGGCTGTGTCGGCCCTGCTCACAAGGGATCTGGCAGATATAATAGGTTCCTATCTAGCAGCCTCTGAGAGGCTGAGCTGTGAGCTGAGGAGACAGAGCCGTTTGTATTCAACTCTTGTCCTCACAAAGCCCTCAGTTTGCAGCAGCCGTGGTGTGACACAGTGTGATAGAGGCTTCCATATGGAATGGGCAAAAAGTGCAGCAGGCTCACAGGAAGCCTATGCTGGCTGATCTGTGTCTGGTACCTTGTGGCCTATTTTCCGAGAATGAGCCAGCTCTTTGAGTGTCGGCTGCCTGGGAGTCTCTGGGAAATGCCTCAGTTGCCCCTCAGGTGACCCTAGTCACTTGTTGTAAAAGACCCATTCCAGTTTGGTGGCTGTCACAGGAGGATGGGAAGCTAGGGGACAGGGCTCGTGCCACCAGGCAGTTGTCAGGATGGGGCTGGAAGGCTGAGAAGCAAAGCCCTGAGAGTGTGTGCAGGGAAGCCTGCTCCTGCCCCTGGCTGTCCGCTTTCATTGGCCTGATATCTCACCAGAACCTTCTCCTAGTGTGATTGCTTCTCCCCAACCCCAGCCAGTGACACCCAGGTTACCTGTAGGGTGTCACTAGTGGGTTGGTAAGTGTTCCCATTGCTAGTTTATCTCATGGAAGAGGAGGAGGGAAGGTTTTAGATAAGAAGCAGCAGAAAGTAGGTTTAATGGTATAAAAATTTTTCCATGTGGCCAGGAGCGGTGGCTCTCGCCTGTAATCCCAGCACTTTGGGAAGCCAAGGCGAGTGGATCACTAGGTCAGGAGTTCGAGACCAGCCTGGCCAATATGGCGAAACCCCATCTCTACTGAAAATACAAAAATCAGCCAGGTGTGATAGCGGGCATCTGTAATCCCAGCTACTCTGGAGGCTGAGGTAGGAGAATCACTTGAACCCAGGAGGCGGAGGTTGCAGTGAGCTGAGGTCGTGCCACTGCACTCCAGCCTGGGCAACAGAATGAGACTCCGTCAAAAAAAAAATTTTTCCATTAAAAATGACTTTGAAAATAGCATGAAATCCACTTAACTCTAGGAGGTCTTCCCTGCCAGGCAGAGAGCTGGGGGAACAGAGATAGGAGGGCAGCCAGGAGGAGACTGGGCAAGCAGCTGCTCATGTATGACCCTCTGCCTGCGGAGACCACTGGGTTGGCAGAAGGCAGAAAGGTCACAGGGGGTCCTCGCCAATGCCTCACCCCACTCCATACTGCAAGCCCCAGGGCCAGGAGGAGGAGAAGTGCAGGCTGTGGGGTCAGGGAGGTATTTGGGGAGCATCCAGGCTGAGTGGCTTTTGGTTCCCTTTCCTTCACCTGCCTCCCTCCCCCGCTGCAGCTCATCCTGGCTCAGACAGTTGCCTCTGCAGTATGGCAGACTGCAGGTATTGACAGTCAAGATCAGTTTCTAGGCTCCTTAACTGGGCAGAGTTATCTGTTGTCACTTAAGTTAGAATTGGGAGGGTGGGCCGGGCATGGTGGCTCACGCCTGTAATCCCAACACGTTGGGAGGCTGAGGCAGCCGGATCACCTGAGGTCAGAAGTTTGAGACCAGCCTGGCCAACATGGTGAGACCCCCGTCTCTACTAAACATACAAAAATTAGCCGGGCATGGTGGCAGGTGCCTGAAATCCCAGCTACTCAGGAGGCTGAGTCAGGAGAATTGCTTGAACCTGGGAGGCAGAGGTTGCAGTGAGCTGAGATTGCACCACTGCACTCCAGCCTGGGCAACAGAGCGAGACTCCATCTCAAAACAACAACAACAACAACAAAACCAAAAACAAAATTGGGGCACAATGGCACATGCTTGTAATCTTAGTGCTTTGGGAGGCTGAGGCAGGAAGATCGCTTGAAGCCAGGGGTTCAAGGCTGCCAGTGAGCTATGACTGAGCCACTGCACTCTAGCCTGAGTTACAGAGTGAGATCTTGTGTCTAAAAATAAGAGAAAAAAAAAGGCCAGGTGCGGTGGCTCACGCCTGTAATCCCAGCACTTTGGGAGGCTGAAGTGGGTGGATCATTTGAGGTCAGGAGTTCGAGACCAGCCTGGCACACATGGTGAAACCCAGTCTCTACTAAAAATACAAAAAATGAGCCAGGCGTGGTGGTGCATGCCTGTAAACCCAGCTACTTGGGAGGCTGAGGCAGGAGAATTGTTTGAACCCAGGAGGCAGAGGTTGCAGTGAGCTGAGATTGTACCACTGCACTCCAGCCTGGGAGAGTGAGACCCTGTCTCAAAAAAAAAAAAAAAAAAAGAAAAGAAAAAAAGCTGGGTGAAGTGGCTTGTACCTATAACCTGTAATCCCAGCACTTTGGGAGGCCGAGGCAGGCAGATCACAAGGTCAGGAGTTCGAGACCAGCCTGGCTAAGATGGTAAAACCCCGTCTCTACTAAAAGCACAAAAATTAGCCAGGCATGGTGGTGCATGCCTGTAGTCCCAGCTCAGGAGGCTGAGGCAGAAGAATCACTTGAACCTTGTAGGAGGAGGCTGCAGTGAGCTGAGATTGTGCCACTGCACTCCAGCCTGGTGACAGAGCGACACTCTGTCTCCAAACAAACAAAAAAACCTCGAATCTAATACCAAACAAACAAAACACACACACACACAAACACACACACACACAAAAGAAAAAAATAGAATTGGGACACAACAAGGGAGGCATAACTGAGTTGCATGGCAGTATCCAGGACAGGGGCTGATGGCTGCAGGATCCACTGATCCTCAGAGCTCATCTTCATGGAAATAGGAGGGAGCCAAGTATCTTTGACTTGTGTTTTCTTTGTTTTGCTTGTTTTTTAGACAGAGTCTTGCACTGTCGTCCAGGCTGGAGTACAGTGGCACAATCTCGGCTCACTGCAACCTCCGCCTCCTGGGTTCAAGCGATTCTCCTGCCTCAGCCTCCCGAGTAGCTGGGACTACAGGCGCACACCACCACGCCTGGCTAATTTTTTGTATTTTTAGTAGAGACGGGGTTTCACCGTGTTAGCCAGGATGGTCTTGATCTCCCGACCTCGGGTGATCTGCCCACCTCGGCCTCCCAAAGTGCTGGGATTACAGGCATGAGCCACCTTGCCTGGCAAGACTTTGGTTTGTTTGTTTATTTATTTATTTATTTATTTATTTATTTATTTATTTATTTATTGAGACAGAGTCTTGCTCTGTCATCCAGGCTGGAGTGCAGTGGCACGATCTTGGCTCACTGCAAGCTCCACCTGCCGGATTCACGCCATTCTGCTGCCTCAGCCTCCCCAGCAGCTGGGACTACAGGCACACGCAGCCACGCCCGGCTAATTTTTTTGTATTTTTAGTAGAGACGGGGTTTCACCGTGTTAGCCAGGATGGTTTCGATCTCATGACCTCGTGATCCACCCGCCTCGGCCTCCCAAAGTTCTGGGATTACAGGCGTGAGCCGCCTCGCCCGGCCTAAGACTTTGGTTTTTAAAGTCAGTTTTTCTTCAGCCAGGAATATGTTAAGAGAGGAAACAGGGAGGCAATGTTGTTGTGGGGCAAAAAGGAGCAAGACTGCCTTTCCTGGATTTCCGAAAGGGCCTCTCAAAAGTCTCAGTGCTTACCTGGGTATGGTGGTGCACTCCTATAGTCCCAGCTACTTACCGGGAGGTAGGGGGCTGAGGTGGGAAGATCACTTGAACCCTGGAGATCGTACCACTGCTCTACAGCCTGGGCGACAGAGTGAGACCCTGTCTAAAAATCAAAAGTTGCAGTGAATGAGCAGAGAAGATGGATGGGGAGAAGAAACTGAGGCCTATAGCCTGGAAAAACCCCATGCGAGTAGGATCTTGATACAGCCATTTGGCCCTCACACTCTAAGGTCCAAAACCATTTAAAATGTTAGCTTCTGGCCAAGCGCGGTGGCTCACATCTGTAGTTCCAACACTTTGGGAGGCCAAGGTGGGAGTATGGCTTGAGTCCAGGAGTTTGAGACCAGCCTGAGCAACATGGTAAAACCCCATCTTTACGAAAAAAGTTAGCCGGGTGTGGTGGTGTGCACCTGTAGTACCAGCTACTCAGGAGGCTGAGGTGGAAGGAATACCTGAGCCTGGGAGGTCGAGGCTGTAGTGAGCTGTGATTGTGCCACTGCACTCCAGCCTGGGTGACAAAGTGAGAGTGAGACCCTATCTCAAAAAAGTAAATAAATAAATACATAAATATTAGCTTTCTTAAAATTGCCATGTCATGTGCCTAGCTCGGAATTGGCTAGGATGGAGTATTCACACCACAGGAATTGGCAAGTCCCACCAATCGGCCAGACGTGCTGGAGCCCTACCCGATAGAAGACTCCTCCCTATGTGTTTATGTAGCTGGGTCTTGCCAGTCCTTCAACTCAAAGTAACGTCACCCGCTCAGTGAGGCCCTCCCAGACCCCATCTCAAGTTGGTCTCAGTCACTGTTGCCACGTCCTTTCACTGTTGTCATCACCATTTCAACAGTCGTTTTCTGGGTTATTGTCCTTTTCCTCAACCTGAAATGCAGGAACAGAGGCCCCCAGAGAACAGGAACTCGTCTGACTTGTCTACTGCTTATCCCTCTGGCTAGAACAGCGCCTGGCACATAGTAGGTGCTCAAAAAATAGTCACTGAATGAAGAAGTGAGTGTGTTTGGAGCGGAAGGCTGAGTGTTTCCGCCTAGGTCCTGTGACAGAAACCCCTGTGTCTGTTCTCATGTAAAGGCCGGTCAGCAGGGTGAGAGGGAGCCGGTGCCTGTACTGACCTGCTCTTGGTCAGGCCAGACTAGGGATGAGACAGGAGCGAGAGGAGGAGGCAGAGGCAGAGAATAGTCCCTTTGGTCTGGAAGCTGCTGAACTGGATGGGAATGAGCCGAACCCATTGGATCCTTGTCTTGGGGATAGAATTGCCACATTCGGCAAATAAAAATAGGGACTACGCAATTAAATTTTAATTTCAGATCAACAAATAATAGATATATTTTTTGCCCTTGTTGCCCAGGCTGGATTGCAATGGTGTGATCTCGGCTCACTGCAACTTCCACCTCCCAGATTCAAGTGACTCTCTTCCCTCAACCTCCCGAGTAGCTGGGATTAGTGTGCCACTATGCCTGGCTAATTTTTTTTTTATTTATTTTTTTTATTAGAGACGGGGTTTCACCATTTTTGTCAGGCTGGTCTCGAACCCCTGACCTCAATTGATCCACCCACCTCGGCCTCCCAGAATGCTGGGATTATAGGCGTGAGCCACTGTGCCTGGCCAACAAATAATAATTTTTTAGTATGTATATGCTCCATGCAATATTTGAGACATACTAAAAATTATTCATTATTTACCAAAAATTCTGATTTGATTGTATTTTCTCTGGCAACCCTACCTGGGGAGTCAGTGGTGTGCTAGTAAGTGCTCCCTGGGTCCTCTGCTCTCATTAGCTTCCTCTACCCTCCCCACCAGTCAGCTTTCTCTGGGTTGTGAGAAGATGGCAGGGGATGCCCCCCCAGCTCCATCTTCATCCCCATGTGTCCAAACAGACCTGAGCAGCTTGAGTGTTGTTCTTCTGAGTAGCTTTCATCTGAGGCCTGTGTAGAGCAAGCTGTGGGCTGGACACAGACCTCACCTGCGGCTCAACATTACAATTACATGGGTGCTTTTAAGATTGGCTCTGCCCAGGCCCGACTGCACACCAATTAAATCAGAATCTCTGCATGGTCTCATTAACCTGCCCTATGGTTTTAAATATCTCTAGATACTCCTTTTTATGAGACAGAGTCTCACTCTGTCTCCCTGGCTGGAGCAGCCTCGACCTCCTGGGCTCAAGCGATCCTCCTACCTCAGCCTCCTGAGTAGCTGGGACCACAGGTGTTCACCATTACTCCCAGCTAATTTTTTTTTTTTGAGACACAGTTTTGCTGTTGTTACATAGGCTGGAATGCAATGTTGTGATCTCGGCTCACTGCAACCTCTGCCTCCTGGGTTCAAGCGATTCTCCTGCCTCAGCCTCCTGAGTAGCTGGGATTACAAGCACCCGCCACCACGCCCAGCTAATTTTTTGTATTTTTAGTAGAGATGGGGTTTCACCATGTTGGCCAGGCTGATCTTGAACTCTTGACCTTAGGTGATCCACCCACTTCGGCCTCCCAAAGTGCTGGGATTACAAGGGTGAGCTACTGTGCCCAGCCATGCTCAGCTAATTAAAAACTTTTTTTTTTTTTGTAGAGACGGGAGTCTCAATATGTTGCCCAGGCTGGTCTTGAACTCTTGGGCCCAAGTAATCCTCCTGCCTCCCAGCCTCCCAAAGTGCTGAGATTACAGGCATGAGCCACCACACCTGGCCAGGATATTTCTAAACATCTCTAGAATCTGCCTACTTCTCTCCACTTCCACCATCACATATCAGACTGCAGTATACGCCCAACCAATCTTCCCCACATACATTCTAGCCCCTTCTAATCTGTTCTTCATGTTGCCACCAGCGCGGGATTTTTAAAACATAAATCTAAAGTTACTTCCCTTGCTTCAAATCCTTCAACGCCATCCCTTTTTTCTTAGTAAAAATGTCAAAACAGTCACTTTGCAATGGGAAAACCTGGCAGACACCAAGGAAATGAAGTGATTGAGGTTAACAGTGCCAGTACTAAGATAACTTCTGTGGAATTCTTGCCAGAAATTTACAACCTTGATCTAACCCTGAGAAAATGTCAGACAAGCCAAAATTGCAAGACACTCTACATCCTAACTGACCAGTACTCTTAAAATGTGTCAAGGCCATGAGGCAAACCTGAAGAACTGACATAGATTGGAGGAGACGAGGGAGACAGCAACTAAATGCAATGTGGACCCTGGATTGGATCCTGAAACAGGAAAAAGACATTGGGGGAAAACTGGTGAAATGTGACTAAGCACTGTAGTTTGGTTAGTGATACTGTACTGCTGTTTTCCTGGTTCTGATCATTTTATGATACTTATGTGAGTTTTTAACATGAGGGGAACTTGTGTAAAGGATACACAAGGGACTTCTCTATTATTTTTGCAACTTTTCTATCAGCTTAAAATTATTTCAAAATGATTTTATTTTATTTATTTTTTGAGATAGTTTTATTTATTTATTTTTCATCTTCCATTGTGGAAGATGAAACTCACATTTTACTCTGTTGCCCAGGCTGGAATGCAGTGATGTGATCTCAGTTAGCTATAACCTCAGCCTCCCAGGTTCCAGTGATTCTCCTGCCTCAGCCTCCTGAGAAGCTGGGATTACAGGCATGTGCCACGATGCCCAGCTATTTTTTTTTTTTTTTTGTATTTTTAGTAGTGACAGGGTTTCACTATGTTGGCCAGGCTGGTCTCGAACTCCTGACCTCAGGTGATCCACCTGCCTCGGGCTCCCAGCGTGCTGGGATTACAGGTGTGAGCCACTGTGCCTGGCCTTTTTTTTTTTTTTGTATTTTTAGTAGAGATGGGGTTTCACCATATTGACCAGGCTGGTCTCGATCTCCTGACCTCGTGATCCACCCGCCTCAGCCTCCCAAAGTGCTGGGATTACAAGCATGAGCCACAACACCCGGCCTTATTTCCAAATAAAAGGATAAAAAGATAATCCTTGACATGGCCTTGAAAGCCTGGTATTTTCTAGCCCCTGCCTGCCTCTCTGCCCCACAGTCTCCAACCACTCTCCCTGTGCTGCAGCTGTGCTAGCCTTCCTTACCGTCTGGCCTTTTAGAGTGAACCCTCAGAGATCAACCAAGCACCCCTTCTGGGACCTCTTCCTTCCTTCCTTCCTGGATCAAGCCTCGTCATTACAGGTTCTCATAGCTCTCCATCAGAGCCCTCCCTAAAGTTATCATCAACACTGCAAGGCAGTGCTTCTTAGCCTTGGCTGAATATTAGAATCACCTGCAGAATGTTAAAAACCTCTGGTGCCTCAGATGGGAGGGTGAATTGGTATACCCACGTTGGAAAATTGTCTGGCAATATCTATTAAAGATATTTTAGTAATGAATATATACATCCTCTATGACCTAGGAATTCTACTCCTAAATACAGTTATGTGCCACATAATGTTTCTGTCAATGACAGTTCACTTACAAACAGTGGTCCCATAACATTATAATTGAGCTGAAAAATTCCTATCTTCTGGTGATGTGGTAGAAGTCTTAAAGTCATTGTAGGCTGTATGTGGTGGCTCACACCTGTAATCCCAGCACTTTGGGAGGCTGAGGTGGGTGGGTCACTTGAGGTCAGGAGTTCAAGACCAGTCTGACCAACATGGCGAAACCCTGTCTCTATTAAAAATACAAAAAAAAAAAAAAATTAGCTGGACATGGTGGCAGGCGCCTGTAATCCCAAGTATTTGGGAGGCTGAGGCAGGAGAATCACTTGAACCCGGGAGGCAGAGGTTGCAGTGAGCCAAGACTGTGCCATTGCACTCCAGCCTGGGCAACAAGAGCAAAACTCCATCTCAAAAAAAAAAAAAAAGAAAGAAAAATAAGCCGGGTGCAGTGGCTCACGCCTGTAATCCTAGCACTTTGGGAGGCTGAGGCAGGTGGATCATGAGGTCAGGAGATCGAGACCATCCTGGCTAACACGGTGCAACCCCATCTCTACTGAAAATACAAAAAAATTAGCCAGGTGTGGTGGTGGGCGCCTGTAGTCCCAGCTACTCGGGAAGTTGAGGCAGGAGAATGGTGTGAACCCAGGAGGCGGAGCTTGCAGTGAGCTGAGATTGTGCCACTGCACTCCAGCCTGGGCGACAGAGCGAAACTTCATCTCAAAAAAATAAAAATAAAAATAAATAAATAAATGAAAAATAAAGTCATTGTAGTGCAATGCATTACTCATGTGTTTGTGGTAATGCTGATGTAAACAAATCTGTGCTGCCAGTCATATAAAATATAGCACACACAATTATGTACAGTACGTAATACTTGGTAATGATAATTAGCGACTATTACTGGGTTATGTATTTACTATACTGTACTTACTTTGAATTTTTATTTTATTTTGTAGAGACAAGGGTCTCACTTTGTTGCCAGGCTGGTTTTGTACTCCGGGCTTCAAGCAATTCTCCTACCTTGGCCTCCCAAAGTGCTGGGATTATAGGTATGAGCCACTGTACCCAGCCTATGCTGTGCGTTTTAATTGTTATTTTATTTATTTATTTTAGAAAAATACATGCTTTTAATTAATTGATTTTTATTTTTTATTTATTTATTTTTTTGAAACAGAGTCTCACTCTGTTGCCCAGGGTGGAGTGCAGTGGTACAATCTCGGCTCACTGCAGCCTCTGCCTCCCAGGTTCAAGTGGTTCTCCTGACTCAGCCTTCCCCACCCCTGAGTAGGTGGGATTACAGGCATGCGGCACCACACCTAGCTAACTTTTGTATTTTTGGTAGAGACGGGGTTTCACCATGTTGCCCAGGCTGGTCTCAAACTCCTGAGTGCAAGCGATCCGCCCATCTCGGTCTCCCAAAGTGTTGGGGTTACAGGCGTGAGCCACTGCACCTGGCCTGATTTTTATTTTTAGAGACAAGGTCTTGCTTTGTCTCCCAGGCTGGAGCACAGTGGTGCAATCATAGCTCTGTGCAGCCTCGAGCTCCCGGGCTCAAGTGATCCTCCTGCCTCAGCCTTCCTGTTATTTTAGAGTACACTCCTACATACATCTTGTGTTTACTGCATCTCTTGATTGCACCATTGATTTGACGTTGGGTCATTTTGTTTTATGGCCCCTATAAATACAAAATTCACGGCTAATGTTGCCAGGAAGAGGCCACATCGAGTGGTTGACCTGGAAGCAAAATTAAAAGTGATTAAGGACTACAAAGGTGGCAAATCTGCAATGGCTATTGCTTGCCAGGCAGGCAGGTCCATTCCACCATAGCTATGATTTTGAAGAACAAGAACAAAATGATAGAAGCTGTTAAAGGATCCGCTTCATTGAAGGCAATGAAATGAACAAAAATGAGAGAAGGGCCTAAATCTGATCTGGTTACATTTCTAATGACCTGGATTGAAGACCAGACACAGAAGCATATCCCTCTCAGCCACATGACAAGCACTGACAAAGCAAAGTTTGTTTGTGATGTTGAAAAGAAGGACTGGATCCAACTACAGTGTGGAATTTACTGCTAGCTCTGGGTGGCTTAAACTATTCAAGAATCGTTATTCATTACATAATGTGAAAGTGAGTGGTGAGTCTGTAAGTGCTGATGTGAAGGCAGCTGAAGAATTTTTGGAAACTCTAGATAAGCTGATTGTGAGGAAAATTACTTGCAGGAGCAAATCTTTAATATGGATGAAACCTCCTATTCTGAACATGGATGCCTGAAAGTACTTTCATTTATAAAGAGGCCAAGTTAATGCCAGGTTTCACGGCTTTTAAGGACAGAATAACAGTCTTGCTTGAGAGCAATGTGGCAGGTTACAAACTGAAACCCTTTGTGACCTGGAACAGGGAGAACTTCAGGGCCTTTCAGCTTATCAATAAATGCATGTTGAGGCCTGGCATGGTGGCCCACACCTGTAATCTCAGCACTTTGGGAGGCCGAGGGAGGAGGATCTCTTGAGCCCAGGAGTTCAAGGCTGTAGTGAGCAATGATCATGCCACTGCATTCCAGCCTGGGTGACAGAGTGGGATCCTGTCTTTTAAAAAACAAACAAAAGGCTGGGCGTGGTGGCTCACGCCTGTAATCCCAGCACTTTGGGAGGCCAAGGTGGGCGGATCACGAGGTCAAGAGATTGAGACCATCCTGGCCAACATGGTGAAACCCCATCTCTACTAAAAATACAAAAATTAGCGGGGCATGGTGGTACATGCCTGTAATCCCAGCTGCTCGGGAGGCTTAGGCAGAAGAATGGCTTGAACTCGGGAGGTAGAGGTTGCAGTGAGCTGAGATCATGCCACTGCACTCCAGCCTGGCAATAGAGCGAGATTCCATATAAAAAAAAAAATAAATAAATAAAAAATAAAAAATTAAAACAAAAAAAACCAAGCACATGCTGCCAGTGTACTTCAGGAGCAATGAAAAGTCATGGAACCTCCGCTTCCAAGGTGCACTCCTGAATTGCTATGCCAGCACAGTGGAGAAGTATTGTTTGGGGAAGAACATACTTTCCAAGATTTTGCTTATTGTTGATAATGTTCCCAAACGTCTGCCTTTTACTGGTGATCTTCATCCCGGTATCAGAGTGGTGTTTCTGCTTTCAAATACCACCTCTTTGATCCAACCAATGGATCAAGGAGCTGTAGCAGCTTTTAAGAGCTACTACTGTATTAGTCCGTTTTCACGCTGCTGATAATGACATACCCCAGGCTGGGTAGTTTATAAAGAAAAAGAGGTTTAATGGACTCACAGTTCCACGTGGCTGGGGAGTTCTCACAATCATGGTGGAAGATGAAAGTCACATTTTACCTGGCGGGAGACAAGACAGAATGAGAACCAAGAGAAAGGGCTTTTCCCCTATAAAACCATCAGATCTTTTTTTTTTTTTTTTTGAGTCCGCGTCTCGCTCTGTTGCCCAGGCTGGAGTGCAGTGGTGTGATCTCAGCTCACTGCAACCCCCACCTCCTGGGTTCAAGCAATTCTCCTGCCTCAGCCTCCCCAGTAGCTGAGATTACAGGTGCGCACCACCACACCCGGTTAAGTTTTGTATTTTTAGTAGAGGTGGGGTTTCACCATATTGGCCAGGCTGGTCTCAAATTCCTCACCTCAAGTGATCTGGCTGCTTTGGCCTCCCAAAGTGCTGGGATTACAGGCATGAGCCACCGTGCCCAGCCCCATCAGATCTTGTGAGATTTATTCACTACCATGAGAACGGTATGGGGGAAACCACCCCATGATTCAATTATCTCCCACCGGATTCCTCCCACAACACGTGAGAATTATGGGAGCTACAATTCAAGATGAGATTTGGGTGGAGACACAGCCAAACCATATCTGCTACCCAAGGAAGACCTTTACCCAGGCTATTACTGCAACTGAGAGAGACACTAAGGAGACACTGATGTAATTCTAGAAGGATTACAACGTTTACGACTGCATCAAGGACCTTTCTTGGGACTGGGGCAATGTCATCAAGGCATGTCTGCATGGCATCTGGAAGAAGAAACTGAATAGGTTTGTTCATGACTTCAAAGGATTTGCCAAGGATAAGAAGGTTGCAAAAAATCAACATAGCTGTGGTTGGAGATGGCAAATAACTTTAACCTTGGTGTGGATGAGGATGCCATTGAGGAGGTCCTAGAGGTGGTTCCTAAGGAACCGATGAATGAGGGGTTGTTGGAACTGGAACAGGAACACATAGCTGAAGAACAGACAAGAGAAAAGGAAACTGCAGAAGAAAAAGAACTTCCAAGAAAATTCACAGTGAAGGGCTTAGCAAAAGCTTTTACAGACCTCAACCAGATCCTTTAAAAGCTTGGAAAGATGGGCCGGGAGCGGTGGCTCATGCCTGTAATCCCAGCACTTTGAGAGGATGAGGTGGATGGATCACGAGGTCAGGAGATCGAGACCATCCTGGCTGACACGGTGAAACCCCGTCTCTACTAAAAATACAAAAAATTAGCCAGGTGTGGTGGTGGGCGCCTGTAGTCCCAGCTACTTGGGAGGCTGAGGCAGGAGAATGGCGTGAACTCAGGAGGTGGAGCTTGCAGTGAGCCGAGATCATGCCACTGCACTCCAGCCTGGGCGAGAGAGCGAGACTCCGTCTCAAAAAAAAAAAAAAAAAAAAAAAGTTTGGAAACATGGACCCCCCGACAATGAAAGGTTTTCCTTAATAGAGAGGAATGTTTATGGTGCAGTATTTGCTGACAAGAAAATCTACGATGAAAAAAGAAACAGGTCCAGGTGCAATGGCTCACACTTGTGATCCCAGCACTTTGGGAGGCCAAGGCAGGAGGATTGCTTGAGCCCAGGAGTTCAAGAGCCTGGACAACATAGTGAAACCCCATCTCTACAACAAAGTAAAAAGATTAGCTGAGCATGGTGGCACATGCCTGTAGCTTCAGCTACTTGGGAGGATGAGATGGGAGGATCACTTGAGCCCAGAAGGTTGAGGCTGCAGTGAGCTGTGATTGTGCCACTGCACTCCACTCCAGCCTGGGTGACAGAGTGAGAATCTGTGTCCAAAAATAAAACAAAGGAAAAGGAAAAAGAAACAAACCAAGCAAACCACCATGTATTTTTTCAGAGTGATACCTTCTCGCAGGTCCTTTAGGAAGTATTCCAGAATAACGCATTGATATTGTAGGAGATGACGGCCCCATATGTGTTACTGCCCTTAGAGACCTTCTGGTGGGATGAGATGTGACGGTGGAAGGTGGGAGACACTGATATTGATGATCTGGACCCTGTGTAGGCCTAGGCTAATGTGTATGTTTGTGTCTTTTTTTTTTTTCAGGCTTAATCACTTCATTTTTCTTGTATAAAAACCCTATGTTGTAGCCACAGCTGGAGCCTGGGTCCACTGCACCGAGACTCTAGTGTGGGTCTTGACGAGGTGGTCAGTGAATTCCTGATAGAGAGACTTAGTGAATACAGTCTCCTTCCAGAGGTCGGGGGTCAGGTAGCTGTAGGTTTTAGAGATGGCATCAAAGGTGGCCTTGGCGAAGTTGCCCAGGGTGGCAGTGCAGCCCTGGGCTGAGGTGTAGCAGTCATTGATACCAGCCATCATGAGCAGCTTCTTGGGCACAGGCGCTGAGACAATGCCAGTGCCCCTGGGTGCAGGGATGAGGTGCACCGGCACAGAGCCGCAGCGGTCTGTCATCTTGCAAGGGACGGTGTGGGGCTTGCCAGTCTTGTTCTCCCAGCAGCCTCTGCTTATGGGGACAATGGAGAGCTTGGCCAGGATGATGGCCCCGCAGATGGCAGTGGCCACCTCCTTGGAGCACTTAATACCCAGACCGACGTGGCCATTGTAGTCCCCGATGGCAACAAACGCCTTGAACCTGGTGCGCTGGCCGGCACGGGTCTGCTTCTGGACCGGCATAATCTTCAAAACCTCGTCCTTGAGAGAGGCCCCCAGGGAAAGGTCAATGATCTCAGATTCCTTAATGGGCAGGGAGAAGATATAGATCTCCTTCAGGGACTTGATCTTCATGGCCTTGAGCAAGCGGCCCAGCTTGGTGACGGCATCCACTCCTTATCCTCGGCCTTGCCTCCGCGAGCTCCGCAGCCTTGGCCCCGGCCGCGTCCACGGCCGCGACTCCGGCCCCCGATGCCACTGCCGAAGCCTCCGCGGAAGCCACCATTGTTCCCCATCCCAGTGCCCCCAGGGCCTCCGGGCCCCCGCGCTGCACCGGCATCATCCGCCATTTGTTTTCTCGGATAAGAAGGTTTGTGTCTGTTTTTAACAAAAAAAGTTTAAAATATAAAATGTTTATTTATTTATTTATTTTTGAGTTGGAGTCTTTCTCTGTTGCCCCGGCTGGAGTGCAGTGGCATGATCTCAGCTTACTGCAACCTCTGCCTCCCGGGTTCAAGCGATTCTCCTGCCTCAGCCTCCCAAGTAGCTGGGATTACAGGCACCCATCACCACGCCCGGCTAATTTTTGTATTTTTAGTAGAGATGGGGTTTCACTGTATCGTTCAGGTTGGTCTCGAACTCCTGGCTTCAAGTGATCAACCCACCTTGGCTTCCCAAAGTGCTGGGATTACAGGCGTGAGCCACTGCGCCCAGCCCCCAAAATAATTTTAAACAGAAAAAAAGGCCGGGTGCGGTGGCTCATGCCTGTAATCCCAGCACTTTGGGAGGCCGAGGTGGGCGGATCACGAGGTCAGGAGATCGAGACCATCCTGGCTAACACGGTGAAACCCCATCTCTACTAAAAATTCAAAAAAATTAGCCGGGTGTGGTGGTGGGTGCCTGTAGTTCCAGCTACTCGGGAGGCTGAGGCAGGAGAATGGCGTGAACTTGGGAGGCGGAGCTTGCAGTGAGCCGAGATCGCGCCACTGCATTCCAGCCTGGGCGACAGAGGGGGACTCTGTCTCAAAAAAAAAGAAAAAAAAAGAGAACAGAAAAAAAGTGGCCGGGCGCTGCAGCTCACACCTGTAATCCCACCACTTTGGGAGGCTGAGGTAGATGAATCATGAGCTCAGGAGTTTGAGACCAGCCTGGTCAGCATGGTGAAACCCCATCTATCCTAAAATTACAAAAATTAGCCGGGGGTGGTGGCAGGCGCCTGTAATCCCAGCTACTTGGGAAGCTGAAGCAGGAGAATCACTTTAACCCAGGAGACGGAGGTTTCAGTGAGGTGAGGTTGTGCCACTGCACTCCAGCCTGGGTGACAGAGTGAGACTCTATCTCAAAAGAAAAAGTAAAAAAAAAAGAAAAAATTTAAAAATTAATTTAGTGTAGCCTAAATATACAGCGTTTATATGATCTGGAGTAGAGCACAGTCATGCCCTAAGCCTTTACGGTCACTCACCACTCACTCACTCACTCACCCAGAGCAACTTCCGGTCCTGCAAACTCCCTTCATAGTAAGTGCCCTATACAGGTGTATAATTAAAAAGAAAATATTTTATACCATGGTTTTACTGTACCTCCATGGTTTTACTGTACCTTTTTAAAATAAATAAATTTATCTGAGACAAGATCTCACTCTGTTAACCAGGCTGGAGTGCAGTGGTGGGATCAAGGCTCACTGCAGCCTCAAGTTCCCAAGCTCAAGCAATCTTCTCACCTCAGCCTCCAGAGTAACTGGGACCACAGGTGTGCGCCACCATGCCTAGCTAATTTTTTGATTTTTTTTTTTTTTTTTTTGTAGAGATGAGGTCTCACTATGTTGCCTAGGCTGGTCTTGAACTCCTGGGCTCAAGTAATCCTCCCGCCTTGGCCTCCCAAAGTGTTGGGATTGCAGGTGTAATCCCAACAGCTACTCAGGAGTACAGGCCGTGCCTGGCCTTACTGTACCTTTTCTATGTTTAGATACACAAATACTTATCATTGCATTGTAATTGGCTACAGTGTTCAGTCCAGCAACGTGCGGTATAGATTTGTAGCCTAGGAGCAATAGGCTGTAGCACATAGCCTGCATGTGTAGTAGGCTGCACCACTTAGGTTTGCGTAAGTGCATTCTATCACGTTCGCACAATGACAAAATTACCTAGCATCGAATTTCTTGGAATGTATCACTGTTGTTAAGTAATGCATGACTGTACATACCGAACAGAATGTAAACATATGTTTAGCAAGAATGTGTTTAAGAATATTCATAAAAACTTTTCATAATAACCAAAGGAAATAATCTGAATGCCCGTCAACAGTAGGATGGATAAATAAGCTGTGGTGTAGTTACATAATGGAATGCTACGTGATAATGAGAATGAATGATCTACAGCTATACTCAACAATGTGGATCAATCTTAAAAAAACATGTTGAGCTAAAGAAGCCAGATATGAAAGAGGAGTTATGGTATTATTCCATTTATGTAAAGCACAAAAACAAGCAAAACTAATTTATGCTGTTAGAAGTCAGGATAATGGTCACCTTTGGGGAGAGATAGTACTTGGAAGGAAGCATGAGGGGGCACTTACGGTGTGTTGGAAATGCTCTGGTTTTTTTTTTTTTTTTGAGACAGAGTCTTGCTGTGTCGCCTAGGCTGGAATGCAATGGCACATCTCGGCTCACTGCAGTCTCCGCCTCCTGGGTTCAAGCGATTCTCCTACCTCAGCCTCTCGAGTGGCTGGGATTACAGGAGCATGCCACTATGCCTGGATACCTTTTGTGTTTTTAGTAGAGACGGGGTTTCACCACATTGGCCAGGCTGATCTCGAACTCCCGACCTCGTGATCCTCCCACCCCAGCCACCCAAAGTGCTGGGATTACAGGCATGAATCACCGCGCCCGGCCATGCTCTGTATTTTTTTTTAGAGACAGGGCTCACTCTGTCAGAGCTCACTGGAGCCCTAAATTTCTGGGGCTCAAGTGATCCTCCCGTCTTAGCCTCCCAAGTAGCTGGGATTATAGGCATGTGCCACTACCCTTGCCAGAAATGCTGTTTCTTAAACCAAATTCTAGTACATGGGTGTGTTCAGTTTGTGAGAATTTGCCAAGCTGTATACTTGTGTTTGGGTACTTTATGTATATGTCAATAAAAAGTTTAAAAAAAAAAAAAAAAACCCAGGCCGGGCGCGGTGGCTCACACCTGTAATCCCAGCACTTTGGGAGGCCGAGGCGGGTGGATCACGAGGTCAGGGGTTCGAGACCAGCCTGACCAACATGGTGAAACCCTGTCTCTACTAAAAATACAAAAATTAGCTGGGTGTAGTGGCGGGCGCCTGTAATCCCAGCTACTCAGGAGGCTGAGGCAGGAGAATTGCTTGAACCTGGGAGGCGGAGGTTGCAGCGAGCTGAGATCGCGCCACTGCATTCCAGCCTGGCGACAGAGCGAGACTCCGTCTCCAAAAAAAAAAAAAAACAAACAAACCCCAGATTCCTGGGTTGAGAAATGCCATTAAGAAAACAAACAGGCAAGCTACAAATTGGGAAAAAATATTCGTAAAACATACCTGACAAAGAACTGGTAGACAGGATATAAGAGAATTTCTGCAACTTAATAAAGACAAATGACTCAATTACAACAAAATTGACAAAAAATATGAACCGACACTTCACAAAAAAAGATATACATGTGGCCAATAAGTACATGAAATTGTGCTCAAAATCGTAAGACACAAGGGAAATGAAAATTAAAATCACAATGAGGGCCAGGAGTGGTGGCCCACATCTGTAATCCCCTCACTTTGGGAGGCTGAGGTGGGAGGATCACTTGAGGCCAGGAGTTTGACACCAGCCTGGGCAAAATAGGGAGACCCGACCCCCCCCCGCCGCCTCTACAAAAACAAACAAACAAACAAACAAACAAAAAACCCACAATGAGATAGGCTGGCTGAAATTTTTTTTTTTGAGACAGGGTCTTGCTCTGTCACCCAGACTGAAGTTCAGTGACACAATCGTGGGTCACTGCAGCCTCAACCTCTTGGGCTCAAGTGATTCTCCCACCTCAGTCCCCCAAGTAACTGGGGCTAATTTTTTAGAGAGACAAGGTCTCACTATATTGCCCAAGCTAGTCTTGAGCTCCTTAGCTCAAGGCAATCCTCCCACCTCAGCCTCCTGAAGTGCTGGGATTACAAGCATGAGCCACCACACCTGGCCCACAGCTAAACTTAAGAAAGACTGGTAAGACTAAATATGAGGATATGGAGCAACTGGAACTGTCATACATTGTTGATGGGAAAGGCTTGGGAGTTTCTTTTTTTTTTTCCTTTTTTTTTTTTTGAGACAGAGTCTCGCTGTGTGCCCAGGCTGGAGTGCAGTAGCACGATCTCGGTTTACTGCAAGCTCTGCCTCCCGGGTTCATGCCATTCTCCTGCCTCAGCCTCCCGAGTAGCTGGGACTACAGGTGCCCGCCACCATGCCCGGCTAATTTTTTGTATTTTTAGTAGAGACGGGTTTTCACCCTGTTAGCCAGGATGGTCTCCATCTCCTGACCTCGTGATCCACCTGCCTCGGCCTCCCAAAGTGCTGGGATTACAGGTGTCAGCCACCGTGCCTGGCCCGGGAGTTTCTTAAAAAAACTAAATATATGCTTACCCTCTGACTCAATATTTTCACCTCTAGGTATTTACCTGAGAGAAAAGAAAATATATTTCCACAAAAAATATTGTATAAGAATGTTAATGGAAGCTTTTTTTTTTTTTTTTTAAGACCAAGTTTTGTTCTTGTCGCCCAGGCTGGCGTGCAACAGCATGATTTTGGCTCACTGCAACCTTCCCCTCTGGGTTCAAATAATTCTTCTTCCTCACTCTCTGGAGTAGCTGGGATTACAGGCATGCACCACCACGCCTGGCTAATTTTTGTATTTTTAGTAGGTGGGGTTTCATCCGTTGGCCGGGCTGGTTTCAACTCCTGAACTCAAGTTATACACCCACCTTGGCCTCCCAAAGTGCTGGGATTACAGGTGTGAGCCACTGCATCCAGCCCATGGAAGCTTTATTCCTAAAAACTCCAAACTGGAAACAACTCAAATGTTTATCAGTAAGAAAATGCTAAAACACTATTTTTATCTATACAAAGGACACTATTCATTAATAAAAAGAAATAAACTACTGATACATGTGACATGAATAAAACACTTCGCTGAACGAAAGAAGCCTAACATGAAACAGTTTGTACTACATACTTCCATTTCTATAAAGATCTAGAATAGGCAAATCTAATCTATGGTGGAAGATAAAAACCAGAAAAAGTGATTGCCTCTTAAAGGAATAAGGAAGGGATTGACAGGAAATGAGCAAAAGAGAACTTTCTGGAGTTATGGTAATGTTTTATATCTTGATAGGGATTTGATTTCCACAGGTGTGTGCAATTGTTAAAACTCAGCAAATGTACACTTAAGCAAATGTACATTTTGCAATTCATTATAATGTAAATTTTTTATTGAAAGGAAAAGAGGCTGGGCGCAGTGGCTCAGGCCTGTAATCCCAGCACTTTAGGAGACCAAGGCGGGAGGATCACCTGAGGTCAGGAGTTTGGGACCAGCCTGGCCAACATGATGAAACTCTGTCTCTACTAAAAATACAAAAAAATTAGCCAGGCGTGGTGTCAGGTGCCTGTAATCCCAGCTCCCAGCTATTTGGGAGGCTGAGGCTGGAGAATCTCTTGAACCTGGGAGGTGGAGTTGCAGTAAGCTGTGATTGCGCCACTGCACTCCATCCTGGGTGACAGAGAGAGACTCTGTCTCAAAGAAAAAAAAAAGGAAAACAAAACTATAACCAAATATTGAACTCTAGTTGATAATATGCATGATGAAATATTTAGGGAGAGTGGATAGATGTCTGTCATTTACTTTGAAATACATTTTAAAAATGAGGACGGAATGATAGATGGAGGAAGGATGATAGATGGATAGAGCAATAATGTCACTGAGAGAATCTAGGTGGGTGTTCGTTACAAAATTATTTCATCTTTGCTGCATGCTTAAAGTTTTTTTATTATATATTTTTTAATTTCTTTATTTTTGTAGACGGAATCTCACTCTGTTGCCCACCCAGGCTGGAGTGCAATGGCCCGATCTCAGCTCACGGCAACCTCCGCCTCTCGGTTTCAAGTGATTCTTCTGCCTCAGCCTCCTGAGTAGCTGGGATTACAGGCGTGCGCCACCATGCCCAGCTAATTTTTGAATTTTTAGTAGAGACGGGGTTTCACCATGTTGGTCGGGCTGGTCTCAAACTCCAGACCTTGTGATCTGCCTGCCTTGGCCTCCCAGAGTGCTGGGGTTACAGGCGTGAGCCACTGCTCCCAGCTTTTTTTATTATAAAATGTAGAGAAAAATGAGTGTTTTAATGAAGTCTCTCCCAAGAAGTATTGAGTCCTGCTTAAAATATGCCACACACTGCTTTGAATGTGTCCCAGAGATTCTGGTATGTTGTGTCTTTGTTCTCATTGGTTTCAAAGAACATCTTTATTTCTGCCTTCATTTCGTTATGTACCCAGTAGTCATTCAGGAGCAGGTTGTTCATATTCCATGTAGCTGAGCGGTTTTGAGTGAGTTTCTTAATCCTGAGTTCTAGTTTGATTGCTCTGTGGTCTGAGAGACTGTTTGTTATAATTTCTGTTCTTTTACATTTGCTGAGGAGTGCTTTACTTCCAACTATGTGGTCAATTTTGGAATAAGTGTGATGTGGTGCTGAGAAGAATGTATATTCTATTGATTTGGGGTAGAGAGTTCTGTAGATGTCTATTAGGTCTGCTTGGTGCAGAGCTGAGTTCAGTTCCTGGATATACTTGTTAACTTTCTGTCTCATGGATCTGTCTAATGTTGACAATGGGGTGTTAAAATCTCCCATTATTATTGTGTGGGAGTCTAAGTCTTTTTGTAGGTCTCTAAGGACTTGCTTTATGAATATGGGTGCTCCTGTATTGGGTGCATATATATTTAGGATAGTTAGCTCTTCTTGTTGAATTGATCCCTTTACCATTATGTAATGGCCTTCTTTGTCTCTTCTGATCTTTGTTGGTTTAAAGTCTGTTTTATCAGAGACTAGGATTGCAACCCCTGCTTTTTTTTTTGTTTTCCATTTGCTTGGTAGATCTTCCTCCATCCCTTTATTTTGAGCCTATGTGTGTCTCTGCACATGAGATGGGTCTCCTGAATACAGCACACTGATGGGTCTTGACTTTTTATCCAATTTGCTAGTCTGTCTCTTTTAATTGGAGCATTTAGCCCATTTACATTTAAGGTTAATATTGTTATGTGTGAATTTGATCCTGTCATTATTATGTTAGCTGGTTATTTTGCTCGTTAGTTGATGCAGTTTCTTCCTAGCATTGATGGTCTTTACAATTTGGCATGTTTTTGCAGTGGCTGGTACCGGTGATTCCTTTCCATGTTTAGTGCTTCCTCAAGGGTTGAGAACCACTGCCAAGGTTTTGGCTTAGTTGCAGGGCCCAACACAGTCTGTGGCACATAGTAGTTGCTCAAAAAATATAGCACATACGAATTAAATGGATAGCTGAACAGTCCAAGGAGTGGGTGAATATAAATGTATAAATTTCGGCCCTATGCAGGGCCCAACATAGTCTGTGGCACATACTAGGTGCTCAAAAAATACAGCAAATATGAATTAAATGGATAGCTGAACAGTCCAAGGAGTGGGTGAATATAAATGTATAAATTTCGGCCCTATGCAGGGCCCAACATAGTCTGTGGCACATACTAGGTGCTCAAAAAATACAGCAAATATGAATTAAATGGATAGCTGAACAGTCCAAGGAGTGGGTGAATATAAATGTATAAATTTTGGCCATTAATAATAATGATGCTAACAATATAACAAATAAAAACAATAAAGTAGGCATCACTGGTATTCAACTCAGTTTTGAGATGGGGAAGGAGGCAAGAAGAGAGGTCCTGGGGTGAAAGGCAGATTAACAGGATTAAAGGTGGGGACATAAGAGGCAGTGAGGCTCATTTTTTGGTTAGATGCAAGTGGGCTCTGTTCTGCCTCCCCAGAATCCCTAGGGCTGAGGTTGGAGAGGTGGATGGGGTGTCATAGGAAGGCCCAGTAAGCCTAGTGATGAGACAAGGGTTGAAATAGTCTAGAGTGAGTTGAGGGACTGGTCTTCCTGAAGCCCAGTGGACATTATGCTTGGATGAGGAGTCAAAGTCCCACTGCCTTCCATTCTGGAGAGCACTGAGCTTGGTGGAACTCAGAGAGCCTGGTGCAGACCCTGCTCTGTAGAGGATTCGTCAGCTGCATGGCTTTAGGTGGTCATTTCAGCTCTCTGGTGCTGACTTCCACCACTCATGAACTAGGGGCGATCATAACTGCCAGGCTTCCTTAGGGATTGCTGAGAAGATCAAAGAGAAAAACTTGTGGAAACATCTTTATGGAGGTGGAAAGTCCTAGACATTCACCCTGTCCTCAAAACCCTTCCCACCCCCAACCTAAACTTCTGGACCTCGGTTAAACCCCTTTCTCTGCAGGGCCTCAGCATCTGGCTGTAGGGTGATGGTGGCATAGGCTTTGTCTTTTTAGCTTCTCCCAAAACCTGACCCTCACCTCTGCTTGTTGAGAGCAGGAGTGGAAAGGAAGCAGTTATTTTGAGCCACCTTCTTAGTGTCTGGCACAGTAGGGATCACAGAGTTGAGGCTTAGACAAAGCTGTTTCTGGTGTCCAAGTTTCCAGAATGGCAGGGCAGGAATGGCAAGAGCCTGAAAAGAATAATGGGGAGGGTAAAGAAGGACTGGTTGGCAGCGTGGGCACTTGTGGGGCCATTTCCTGGGATCTTCCAGATAAAATACAGATAAATTTAAATCCAGATAATTTAAATTTCAGAATAACAATGATAAAATTTTTAGTGTAAGTATGTCCCAAATCCTGTCCTGTCCAAATGTGTGTCCTGTATTTTTGTTTGCTAAATTAGGCAACCTTATTATTGCTATTTGAGAATGTACTGGAAGTCCTAACTAGAATAATTAGGCAAGAAAAAGAAACAAAAAGCATCCAAATTGGAAAAGGAGGATAAAACTATCTCTGTTTGTAGATCACATGATTCTGTATCTAGAAAATGCCAAAGAATCTCCCCTAAAAAACCCCACTAGAGAGCTAATAAACAAATTCAGCAAAGTTGTAGAGTACAAGATTTATACACAAAAATCAGTTGTGTTTCCCTATACCAGCAATGAACAATCTGAAAAGGAAATTAAGAAAACAATTCCATTTACAGTAGCATCCAAAAGATAAAATACCTATAAATAAATTTAACCAAGGAGTGAAAGCCTTGCACATTGAAAACTACAAAACATTGCTGAAATAAATTAAAGAAGACTTAAATAAATGGAAGGACATCCCATGTTATTGATTGGAAGACTTAGTGTAGTTAAGATGGCAATACTCCCTAAAGTGAGCTACAAATTCAATGCAATCCCCATCAAAATCCAAGTAGCTTTTTTTTTTTTTTTGGCAGAAATGGAAAAGCTTATCCTCAGATTTTTATGGAATTGCAAGGGACCCTGAATAGTCACAATATTGAAAAGGAAAAACAACACTAGATAACTCACAGTCCCCAATTTCAAAACTTACTTCAAAACTACAGTAATCAAAATGATGTGGTACTGGGATAAATATGACATATAGACAGATGGAATAGAATTGAGATTCCAGAAGTAGACCTAGAATATCTATGGCCAGTTGATTTTTGACAAGGGTTGCAAGATCATTCAAAGGGGAAAGAATAAACTCTTTGACAAATGATGTTGGTACAACTGGATAACCACATGCAAAAGAATGGAGTGGACCCCTACCTTACTTCACATGTACAAAGTAACTAAAAATGGATCAACAATCTAAATATAAATGCTAAAACGATAAGCACAAAACAAAGGGGTACACCTTTATGACTTTAGATTTGCCAAAGAAGTCTTAGATTTGACACCAAAAGCATGAGCAACAACAACAAAAATAGGTTCACCAGACTTCATAAAAATTAAAAAGTTTTGCACATCTTAGGATGTTATCTACAAAAGGGAGAAAAGATTTGCAAAGTAGAGGAGTTTAATATTCAGACTAAGGACTCTTGCAACTCAACAACTTTGATCATTGCTGAGGAAGGAGAAGAGGGGGAAATGGGGAGCGATTGCTTAATGGCTAGGGGTGTTTTAGGGTGATGAAAAAGTTTTGGAACTAAAAAGAGGCAGTGATTGCACAACGCTGTGAATGCACAAAATACCACTGAATTAAAATGGTCAATTGTATGTTATGTTAATTCCACCTCAATTAAAAAATACATCTGGCTAGGCTGGGCACGGTGGCTCACGCCTGTAATTCCAGCACTTTGGGAGGCCGAGGCGGGCGGATCACTAGGTCAGGAGTTTGAGACCAGCCTGGCCAACATGGTGAAACCCTGTCTCTACAAAAAATACAAAAATTAGCTGGGCGTGGTGGCAGGCACCTGTAATCCCAGCTACTCGGGAGGCTGAGGCAGGATAATTGCTTGAACCAGGGAGGCCGTGGCTGCAGTGAGCCGAGATTGCACCACTGAACTCCAGCCTGGGTGACAGAAAGAGACTCTGTCTCAAAACAAACAAACAAACAAGAAACCATCTGGCAGCCACACCCACAGGGCTCCTCCCCAGCCCTGTGCTTCATTCTCCCCAGTCCACAATCTGGGACTTCTACCTTGGAACTATGGAGTAAGAGTCAACACTTACTTCCTAAGCAAAAGATAACATTCCTGTTAGGTGGGAGCATAGCCAAACATTCAACTACAGTGCCTACAAACCCTTCTCTGGGTCCTTAGGGGCTGCTGGAAACAGGACCATCCAGGGTCTCTTCCGTAATTCAATGATATTTCATTTATTTATTTATTTGAGACAGGGTCTTGCTCTGTCACCCAGGCTGGAGTGCAGTGGCACAAGCATGGCTCACTGCGGCCTCAACCTCTCGAGCTTAAGTAGTTCACCTACCTCAGCCTCCTGAGTAGCTGAGACTACAGGCACGTGGCACCATGCCCGGCTAATTTTTTTATTTTTGTAGAGAGGGGGTCTTGCTATGTTGCCCAGGCTGGTGTCCGACTCCTGGGCTCGAGCAATTCTCTCATCTCGGCCTCTCAAAATGCTAGGGTTACAGGTGTGAACCACTGAGCCTGGCCTCCTCATTCATTTATTAGATACCGCCTATGCAACAGATAAGGTCCTGGCTCTCAGGTTAAGTAAAATCTTGGTGGGAAAGGAGATGGGAACAACTGAAACACAAGCAAACTATAATAATATGCAACATTTAATTTGGATGTGTGTACTCAGTGGAAGACATAATTAACAGTGCCTGGAGGAGGGAGGCAGCTTCTGAATGGTGAAGAGGAGGAGGAAGAATTCCTGAGAGGGAAAGGCCAGCTTAGAGTCAAACACACTCAGAACAAAGGGAAGGAGAGAATTGGCTCTTGAGAAACAGCGGTGAGTGGGCAGAGGATGAGGCCAGAGCGGCTGGTGGGGCCTGACTGTGAAGGGCAGATGAGGATTTTCGGCCACATCCTGTAGGCCACAGTGAGCCGTGTAGTAGGTGTAACCTGGGGTGGCCCTCAGGGGCTCTGACCAGCCCTGAAGTTGTGTATAAAATTGTGTGTGCAGGGGTGCATTTTCCTCAGGGAGGGTCCTCAGCTGCTGTCAAATTCTCAAAGGGGTCTGGGGCCCCAAGAGGGTAAGAAGTCAGTTGTTAGCTGAGCTGGTTATTGCTGCTCTCTCCCGGCCTCCTGGGTTCCCCTCCTCTTCATCACTCAGTCCCAGGGGGACTCATCTCCGCTTCTCAGCATTGTGCTGTTTCCAGGTCACGTTTGCTCCCTGAGCCACCTGTTCTCCACCTGCCTTTATCCCATGCTGCCTGCCCAGGGCTTCCAGGAGCCACCCCGCGGCCCTTATCACCTGGGCCACCTCTGCATTTGTCATGGGTTGTTTAGCTCCCTTGTGAGAGTCTGTGGTTCTCCTCTCCATGGAGGACCACATGGATGGCCTCCCTCTCCTAACTGGCGGCAGTCTTGTTCCACCCCTCCCCTCTCCCGAAGCAGTGATCAGATGTCACCAATGAGTGATGAACAATGTCCCAGATGTCAAATCTGAAGTCACTTCAGGGTACCTCCTCCACCTCCTCCTCATTTTCTGAAAAGCTCCCCTCTCTTGACCCCCGTGACATTGCACCTGCATATCTGGAATCTCCTACCAACACCCCTGCTTTTCTGTTTCTCTTTCTGGCTTTTCCTTTCCTTTAAAATGATGAGTTTTAAAAAATAGGTAATGCATGCGCACGGGGAAAAAAAGGTCAAACAGAACAAAAGAGCATATAGTGAAAGCTACTTCTTCCTTTCCTGATTTCTTTCTTTCCTTCCTTCCTTCCTTCCTTCCTTCCTTCCTTCCTTCCTTCCCTCCCTCTTTTCTTTCTTTTTTTCTCTTCTCTTCTTTTTTCTTTCTTTCTTTCCCCCTTTCTTTCTTTCATCCTTCCTTCCTTCATTCCTTTCTTTCTTTCTTCTTCTTCTTTTTTTTTTTTTTGAGACAGAGTCTTGCTCTGTCACCCAGGCTGGAGTGGAGTGGTGTGATCTTGGCTCACTGCAACCTCCGCCTCCCAGGTTCAAGTGATTCTCCTGCCTCAGCCTCCTGAGTGGCTGGAATTATAGGCGTGTGCCACCACACCCAGCTAATTTTTGTATTTTTAGTAGAGATGTGGTTTTGCCATGTTGGCCAGGCTGGTCTCGAACTCCTGACCTCAGATGATCTGCCCTCCTCGGCCTCCCAGAGTGCTGGGATTACAGGCATGAGCCACTGCCCCCAGCCCCTTTCCTGATTTTCAATTACCTGAAATCTCTATTGTTACCATCCTCTGAAGTCCTTCCAGAACTGTCCTGTCCAGTATGGTGGCATGTGACTATGGAGCACTTGAAATGTGGCTAGTTTGAATTGAGATGTGTCGTAAGTGTAAAATATATACAGATTTCAAATACTTGGTACAAAAATATAGATACAAAGTAATTTAAAAAGATTGATTAAATGTTCAAACAATAATATTTTGGCTATATTGAGTTAAGTAAAATATATTAATATTAATTTCCCCTATTTTGTTTTATTCTTTAATGAGAATACTGGAAAATTTAAAATTACATAATTACAGACATGGCTTGCAATTGTGGCTTACATTATGATTTTATTGGACAGCACTGTTCTAGAGCTAGTCTTTGCATTTGTTAAGTATGTATGTATTCCTTGGGCAAAAACCACACAAATAGGATAGTACATAGACTTCTGTAAATTTATTTTTGCACTGAATTATCTGTCTCAGAGATTGTATCATGTTTTGCATATTTAAGCCTGCTTCATTCTTTTTAATGTCTACATAGCATTCCATTAGATGACTATAACAGCATTTATGCAGCCAGCCCTCTACTGATTGGCATTTAGGTTGTTTCCAATCTTTTTTTTTTTTTTTTTTTTCCGAGACAGGGTATGGCTCTATCACCCAGGCTGGAGTGCAGTGGTGTGATCTTGGTTCACTGCAGCCTCGACCTCCCGGGCTCAAGTGATCCTCCCATTTCATCCTCCTGAGTAGCTGGGACTACAGGCACATGCCACCATGCCAGGCTGATTTTTGTATTTGTTGTAGAGATGGTGTCTCGCTGTGTTGCCCAGACTGGTCTCAAACTCCTGAGCTCAAGTGATCCTCCCGCCTTGGCCTCCTAAAAAGCTGGGATTACAGACATGCACCATCTCGCCAGGCCTGTTTCCAATCTTTTAATGCTACCATAACACAAGGCTTCAGTGAGAATCCTTGAGCCTACATCTTTGGGCAGGTGGACAAGAGTATCTGCAGTATGACTTCCTAAAAATTGATTCATCACAAATACCTGTTCTTGGAATAGTGTTGAAGTCTTATTGGCTTATCTCTTTGTGTCCTGCAGTGCCCAGGCCAGTGCACCACGGATTATTTGTTGAACTGAAAACTCAGACTTGGAGAAGTTCTGAGCTGGAAAGGTCCTCAGAGTTCACAGTTGTTTATTTCTCAAACATTTTCTAAACTCCCATGGGCCTAGGCTGGGCATATGCTAGGCACAGGGGTTCACAGATGAACAGATGGGATTCTGCCTTCGAGGAGCTCACAGTAGAATAAGGAGACAGGCATGCAAACAAATGATTGAAATCAGTAGGTACTTTAATAAGGGTATATGTGAAACATAGTAGGGACATTTTATAGACAATGAAACCAAAGCCCATATGCCAAAGTGACTACTGTGTGATCACTGGTGTGGCTCCCTCTCCCTCTTTAGAATACCACCTTTTAGGAATTTTTTTTTTTTTTTGAGACAGGGTCTTGCTCTTTCACCCAGGCTGGAGTGCAGTGGCGTGGTCACAACATACTGCAGCCTCAACCTCCTCATCTCAAGGGATCCTCCCACCTCAGCCTCCCAAGTAGCTGGAACTACAGGCACACGTCACCACACCTGGCTATTTTTAAATTTTTTATAGAGACAAGATCTCAACATGTTGCCCAGGTTGGTCCCGAACTCCTAGGCTCAAGTGATCCTCCTGCCTCGGCCTCCCAGAGTGCTGGGATTACAGGTGTGAGCGACTGCGCCCAGCTAGACTTTCTGAAAGTTAGGTTCTATCCTATCTGTTTTTTTATCCTATCTGTGTTTTTATCCTATCTGTTTTTCTATCCTATCTGTGTTTTTATGTCCTTCATAAGCCTGAGCTCCCTTTCTCCTGCAGTCAGTATGCAGTAGTTACGGTGATGTCACAGGCACTGAGATTTGCATTTTCACCTGGTCTCATTTAAGTGCCCCATCAACCCCGTGAAGCAGGTTGTTATCACCTGAATCAGTGCATGCCCCGCCTTCGCCGACCACTGAGCTCTACCGCCTCTCCTCAGGGCTTTTGTCTGCTCTGCTCACCTGGTTCCTGGTCAGCAGGGCTGCTTGACAAGGTGTGACCAAGATACCAGCTGAGCACCGGGTGGTTACAGGTTTGTCCTCTAAATCCCAGTCTGGGCTCAGTTGCCAAATCCACCACTATTCACTGTGTGACCTCGAGCAGCTGCCGCATCTACAGAATGGTCATGACAGTCCCTATCTCAGAGAGCCTGAGGGTGAGGAGTGAAGATAAAGTGCACACAAGGCTGAGAATGGTGGCCCACTCTGAGCCACCCACAGAGGAGGCTGTGCTGGTGGGGCTGACCGCATTATTTTACCCAGAGCCATAGAATCAGGTCCTTGTAGGTCCTGATTCTACAAGCACTTCTCTTTCTATGATTTGTATTTTATAAGCTCTTGTCTACTAAACACATTTTTTTTTTTGAGACGGCGTCTCGCTGTGTCACCCAGGCTGGAGTGCAGTGGTGCGATCTCGGCTCACTGGAACCTCTGCCTCCCGGGTTCAAGCGATTCTCCTGCTTCAGCCTCCTGAGTAGCTGGGATTACAGGCGTGCCCACCACGCCTGGCTAATTTTTGTATTTTTAGTAGAGACAGGGTTTCACCACGTTGGTCAGGCTGGTCTTGAACCCCTGACCTTGTGATCTGCCTGCCTTGGCCTGCCAAAGTGCTGGGATTACAAGCGTGAGCCACTGTGCCCGGCACCAAACTCATCTTAGCCAGACAAAATGTAGGCAGATTTTGGATGAAAACATAGGGCATAGTCAAAACAAATTTTTCAAGTTTGTTTTTAGCCAAAATAAATTTTATGGTCTTATCACAGATTTGGGAAAAGCTTGTAAAAATAGCTCACAGCATTTATGGGTGAATGGATAAACAAATAGTGGTCTATCCAGACAATGGAATATTGTTCAGCCATAAAAAGAAATGAAGTGCTGATGCATGCTGTAATGCGGACGAACCTCAGAAACATTATGCAAAGGGAAAGAAGCCAGACATAAAAGGCCATGTATTGTATTTTTTCATTTATATGAAATATTCATAATAGGTAAATCCATAGAGACAGGACTCAGATTGGTGGTTTCCAAGGGCTTGGGCATGCGTGGGGATGGGGAGCACCTGCCTGCTGAGTGCAGGTTTCCTTTTGGGGTAACGACAGTGTTTTGAAACTAGATGGAGGTGGTGGTTGCACTACACTGTATATGAAATAAACACCACGGCATTATTCATTTTATGTTATGAGAATTTTACTTCAATTAAAAAAAATAGTTCATGGACCCCTTGCCCCCATTCTTCTTTTGATCACTCTTAGGGATCCTGATTAAGACCCCAGTTAGAAAGCACCAATCCTTTCACATTATGAGTGGGAGGCCAAAGCCCTGGGAGGTTGATGGAGGGCTCTGCAGGGGGTCACAGAGCTGGTTCCAGCTGGGTCTCATTCATTGAAGAGATCTTTACTGGGAACCCATGTGCCCATCCCTGTTCTAAGCCCCAAGGAGTCAGCCATGACTAAGACCTAGGAGTCTCTTTCTCGTGGAGTTTGCATTCCAAACAGGGGAAGGCTGACCAACAGACCGGTAAGCAAATGTCAGGAAGGAAGGGAGCTATGAAGAAAAATGAAACAGGTCAGGGGATAGGAGCAGGGTGGTTACTTAAGGCAGGCCTGTCTGGGATGGCCTGGAGGAGGTGATGTTGGAGTGAGCAATGCAGATATGGCAGACACTGGGAGAAGGCTGTTTCTGGAGGAAGGACCAGGACCGGCCAGTGCAAAAGCCCAGGCAGGGGCATGCTTGGTGTGCACAAGGACCAGCATAGAGGCCATCCCCACTGGCCTCACTTCTGCAGAAAAGAGATGCTTTCTGCTGTGGAGAACATAGTAGACTGTTTTATGCTTACCAGATGCTCAGTCAGTATTTAATTGATGCTTAATCATGGAAGGAAGTTGGGAGTCTGGGCAGAGCCTGGGCAGGGGCCGGAGCTGGCTGGTGGAAAGGGAGAGGGCAGCTCCCCATCCTACTCGGCCTGGCCCCTGGCTGGGGAGCTCTGAGGCATCCCAGGTAGACTCCTGGGAGCAGGGGCGAGGGAGGCAGGGAGTGTTCAAGTAGCACCAGGTCCAGCAGCTCTGCCAGGATGAGGATCCTTAATTGGCTTCTTGGAGTGTGGAATCCTCCACATCCCGCCCCTGGGAGATGGTGCAGCTGGAGAAGGCTGCTCATCACCCCTCTACCTGCAGGCTGTGGGAGTGTGAAAAGAGTGGATTTGGAGCCTGTAGGGGGCCTGGAGGGGGCTTTGAGTTAAGGGGGCCAGCTGTGTTGGGCAGAGGGCTGGTGAGTAATGAGATGTTTCCCTGCTCACATAACCAGACACAGCTCCTGCCCAGGTTGAGGTAAAGAAGAAAGTGAAGAATTATTTCAGGTAGGAGTGGAAGCTGGTCCCTGCACCTGAGTTTTTCTGCCATTTTCAGACTCTTCCTTACTGGAAGATGGGGTTTGAGGAGCAGAGGGTTAATCTGGAGACTGAAGACCTCGTAATGAATTCTAAGGCGCCCCACTTCCTTGCTAGTTGGGCAATTTAACTTACCTCTCCGAGCCTCAGTTTTATGGTCTATAAAATGTGGGCTAATTCAAAAAAGAATAAGCACAGTAGCTGGCATATGGTGGCACTTTGGAATCCAAGTCTAAAACTCTGAAGTCTCCTTTCATTGCCTGCTCGTGGTTTATCCAATGTAAGCAGGCAGCTATCCACAGGAAACCTCTGGCTCCAGCACATCCCTCCAGCTATCCTGAGCAACACACAGTTCCCCTGCATGGGCAGGGTGGCAAATGGCCTGTCTCCTGGGCAGAGGCCTGCACAGTGGGAAGGGTATGGCAGCCAGGACCTGCACTCATGCCACTGACACACATCTCTAGCTGGATACTGGCTGTCATCCCCAACTCAGGGACCAACCCCCTCCCCAGGTCCTGGTGGTCCTGTTTCCCAGGATCCCTGCTCCCTCTCTAGGTGTCTGTTCTGGGTCCCTATGGGATGTGGGTTCCTATGGCTCTGTCCTCTTCGTAGAAAACCAAAGGCTATTTCTGGTCATCACCATCCACTGGCTGGCTTCACGAGTGCTAGGCAGTTTTGCTGGCCTTCTTTAGGTTGCAGGGAGCGGCTATTCCTTAAAACACACATTCCTCTCTCCATGACCCTCACCCTGCCCAGTGTCATTTAGGAAGGGAATAGGAAAGAGGCAATGGGGGAAGTGAGGAGGGCAGAGAGAAACAGATCAGTGGCATCAGGCTTGAGGGTTGGGATGGGGTCATGACCAAGGTGCCTGAACTGTGGAGGAGGATGACCTGTGCTCAAATTCCCCTTGCTAGCTGGGTTTAGATTCCAACTTCCACCTATTCGCTGTGTGACAAAGGGCAAGTTACTTTACCTTTCTGGACCTCAGTTTCCTTATCCCTAAAGCAGGGATCTCAATAGAACCAGCCTCCTAGGGATATTCCAAGGGTTCACTGAGTAATATTTGTAAAGTGCTTAGAACAAGGTTTGGCACAGAGTAAATACTCTATATCTTTTTATTATGATGCTTCAATTTATGTAGTTGATTTTACGAGTCTTTGACAGTCCTTTTGTTTTTGTTTGCTTAAGCTGTCACCTACCTGGGCACAGGAGTTATAATGTGAGAAGTCAGACATTAGTCTGATACTCAGAGAAATAAACGCACAATTACAGCTGGAACCTGGGCTTTGAAGAAGGAGAACATGGGGCTCAAAGATGTTCAATCATGGGGATAGACCTGGCCAGGCTGGGGAGAAGAGGGCTTCCCAGAGGAAGTGCCTTTAGAACCAAGGCAGGAAGGATGAATAGGAGCTAATTAGTCCAAGAAGGAAAGGAAAAGTATTTCAGGCAGAAGAAGTTGCATATGCAAAGGCCCTGCAAGTGTGAAGGGCTGAAGGAAGGCAGACATGGTGAGGTGCAGGGAGCTTGGGTTGTGGTGTGAAGTGGCAGGGGCTCATAAGCAGGTTAGTTTGGTTTTTTATCTAAGAGAAATAGATGTCCTTTGAAAGCTTTAATCAAGGGAGGATGACTCGACCAAATTTGCCTTCAGGAAAATTCAATGTAGCTAAAAAGAGGCCAGGGAGGAGGCAGGGAGAACATTTCAGAGGGTTGCTTTTTTTTCCTCCCCGCATTAAAATCATCCTCGAAAAGAGACTGGGCAGATTTATAATAGCATTAGAATATTTAAAACATGTAATACATTTGTTTAACTTCAAACACATTTCAGCATTCTCAACATACAAAAAATAACAGAACATTACAAATCGTGTTTAAATACAGACGGTTCTTGAACTTTCATTGACGTGATGTCTCTTGCTTTGCTGATAATGAGGAGTTCTACAGTTTGTTTAAAAACAGTTTTCTGCTGGGCGTGGTGGCTCATGCCTATAATCCTAGCACTTTGAGAGGCCGAGGTGGGCAAAGTGGGTGGATCACTTGAGCCCAGGTGTTCGAGACCAGCCTGGGCAACATGACAAAACCCTGTCTCTACAAAAAAATACAAAAATTAGCCTGGCATGGTGGCAGGTGCCTGTAGTCCCAGCTACTCAGGAGGCTGAGGTGGGAGGATCACCTGAGTCCAGGGGGTTAAAGCTGCAGTGAGTCGAGGTCACGCCACTGCACTCCAGCCTGGGTAACAGAGTGAGACCCTGTTTCAAAAAAAAAAAAAAAAGTTTAAAAATTACCACACTTAACTAAAACAAACAAACTAAACCCCCCAAACACTTCTCATGCCGGCTGACCCTCTTTGTCCACAGCTAAGAATGGCAGCAGAATGCTCCGTCACTATATGCAGAAACAAGACAACTTGAAGCTAAATGGAAGCCCTGCAGAGTCAACAGGTCCAGATTCACAGTGCACGCCCTGAGCTACAGCCCCTCCAAAAGGCATCTTCCCCCAGAGCCTCAATGCCAAGCAAGGAGCCGTCAAGAGTCTGCCTTGGTTGTTTTGTTCTTTTTACAAACCGTACAGATATACAATTGATAACTCAGGATTTCTAGTCAATAACCAGATAGTTAACACCACCTTATTAAAAAAAAAAAAGCCAGAAACATCTTTAAATGCCTTGTCACTCCAATAGCAAAGCGCACAGAATGAGAACACAAGAGTGCCTTTTCATTTTAAAAATGTTTGGAAATATGTACAACTTTGATAGCATTTCAGAGTGCACCAGACACCACTGCCGCTTCATGTATACCACTGACAATTTCTAGAGCACTTTGAGAGGCTACAATATGATCATGATCAAATTTTGTAATTAAACCTGATAAGGGCAACAGACACTACTTCTCAAATAAGAGATGTGTCAATTACAGCGCTCCCCTACTCTAAGGCAGGGGTGTCCGATCTTTTGGCTTCCCCGGGCCACACTAGAAGAAGAATTGCCTTAGGCCACACATGAAATACACTAATAATAACGATAGCTGATGAGCTAAACACACGTGCGTGCACACACACACACACTGACACACACTTCATAATGTTTCAAGAAAGTTTACGAATTTGTGTTGGGCAGCATTCAAAGCTGTCCTGGGCTGTGTAGGCTACAGGTTGGACAAGCTTGCTCTAAGGTACTTACAAGGAAACAGATAAACTATGTTTAAAATTTCTTGCCAGGTGTGGTGGCTCACGCCTGTAATTCCAGCACTTCAGGACTTTGGGAGGCCGAGGTGGGGGGATCACTTGAGGTTGGGAATTCGAGACCAGCCTGGCCAACATGGCGAAACCCCGTCTCTACTGAAAATACAAAAATTAGCTGAGTGTGGTGGCATGCGCCTTTAGTCCTAGCTACTTGGGAGGCTGATGCATGAGAATCACTTGAATCTGGGAGGCAGAGGTTGCAGTGAGCAGAGATTGTGCCACTGTACTCCAGCCTGGGAGACAGAGCAAGATTCTGTCTCAAAACAAAACAAAACAAACACATAGCATAAAATTTACCATCTTACCCATTTTAAGTGTACGGTTCAGTACAATTAAGTACATGCATGTTGTTTTGCAACAGATCTCTAGAACTTTCTCAATTTGCAAAGCTGACACTCTATGCCCATTAAACAAATCCCAGTTTTTCCCTCCCCCAGCTCCTGGCAATCACCATTCTTCTTTCTCTTTCTAGGAATGTGACTACCCGAGGTACCTCACATAAATGGAATCATCCAGTATTTGTTCTTTGGAGACTGGCTTATTTCACTTAGCCTGATCTCCTTAAAGTTCATCCATGTTGCATCATGTGATAGGTCATTTAGGAGGTTTTGCAGGAGTCTGAGTAAGAGCTGATGGGGGCTTGGACTAGGGCTTGGAGATAGAGATAGCAGGAAATAGAGTCGGGGAGATTGGGGAGTGGTAGAGTCACAGGACTTGGTGAAGGATGGGAAAGTGCTCCTGTTTCTGGCCTTGGTCTTCAGAGGTGACTGTGGACAGGCCAGTGGTACCCAGACTTGTAGGCTCCTTTGGACAATGGGGGTTGGGGGTGACCCAGGGGCTAAGTTGGGTGCAGAGGAAACCAAGGAAGAACCTCTTCTCTATCCTCAGCCCACAGCCTGGGGGAGACCAGAGGAGGAGAGCAGTGAGCAGCTGCTCTGGCTTCTTTGTTCCCCTTGTTTATTCTTCCTACAGAGCACAGACCTTGCAGCACCAGAAGGGTGGTCTTTATGGCATCCCTGATGAAAGAGGGGAGGAGGTGGGTAAAGTTCTGTGCTGTGTCCCTTTGCAGATACCACCAGGCTGGGCACCCCACGGGCTCATACTGCTCTTTCTGGTCTCTTTGATCGTCCTCGGAATTGTAAAGTCCTTGCCACCTAGAGACTTCCTCCCTGCTCCCATCTACCCCAAGATGTGGATGATTTTCCCATTGAAGAGGAAATTAAAGTGGAAAGAACCTTGCCCCGACTCCCTCCAGCCTGGAGGCAAGTCACTTCTTTCCCAGTGATGTCAACAGTGAACAAGGGTCGAGTGTCTGTGGAAGGCAGTCCCCACGTCAGACCTGGGATGCCCTGAGCAAACACGAGCTCCACCCTCAGAAAAGCAGATGTCTAGATGTGGCCGTCATGTCGATATGAACAGGTGTAGCGGTGGTTCACGAAAGAGGGTGGCTAGTTCTACCTGGTGTTGGGGCTGGGGTGAGTTGACAGAAACAGCTGCCGAGAAAATGAGGTTTTCTTGAGACGTGTCTTGGAAAATTATTTTTATCAGTTTGGAGGAAAAGAATCTCAGGGTGTGGAGGCAGATACCAGAATTACAGGCAGGGGGAGCAGCCTAAACAAAGGCAGCGAGACGGGAAACAGGCCCTGCCTTCAGCTTGCTGCCAGCCGAGATCTGCCCAGAGACCAGCAGGGACCAGAGCTATCAGGACTTTGGCTATTATCTCTGGCTATGGAAGGGATGGGGCTGAGGGAGGTGACACACTTCTGGCAGGGAAGCCATTTAAATGGTGGTCAGCTGGAGATAATTTTAAAGAAATTCCATATAGCACTTACGAGACACTCAATTTTGCGGGAGCCATACAAGTGTTAATTCATGTAATATTCACAGTCATCTTAACGGGGTCAGTCACCATCACGATCCCCGTTTTCCAGATGAGAAAACACCAAGCAACATCTTACCCGAAGTTGCACAGAGGCTGGGGATGGGATTTGAACTGGGTGGTGGGCTCCCCTCTTCTCTGCTGTTAACCACTGGGCTGTGCTCTGGGCCAGCCAGCTCTGAGCGCAAGTGTTAGGGACAGGGCTGGCGGAGGTTAATGAGGGAAAATGGCCAGGAGTTGGCTTCAGGAAGGGAGGCAGTGGGTGAGGGTGGAGCCACAGCAGGCTCCCAGAGGACGAGGCACCATTCACTGATCTGTGGAACTGGGAAAGGCCTCGAGGTCCTCAGTCTTCCTGTCTGTGAAATGGGGACAAGAACACCAGCCTCAGTGGTAGAAAGAGTGGTGTGAAGGTCCTTTGTGCACCCAGGGTGCTCTGTCAACGTAGCCTGGCCCTGCTGCCTCACCCCAGCCCTGCCCACTGGTGCAAGCACACTCACTGTCCCCTTTGTCCCCTTCTGGCTGCCTCTGAGGGATCCTGCCCCCTGGGAGTTTCTTTCTCTGTCATTTCCTGGAGGAGCTAGAACTGGCTTTGAAACCTGCCTGGCTCTTTAGTGGGAGAGAGGTAAAAGCAGTTCAAGGGATGTGGGCTGGAAGTATTTGGAAATGCAGATGGGCCACACGAGCACCTTTTATTTTTGTTCAGAACATCTGAGTCTCCCCGTGGGGACTCCCCCGCCCAGAGTAGCTCCTCCCCCCATGGCAGAGAGGATGAGAGAGCACCCGGGGGCTGCCATGAGCTCAGGGCAGGCAAAAGCAAGGCTGTCGCTCTCCTGCCCCACCCCTACCAAGCCACCAAAAATAGAAGGGCCAAGGTGTCAGCCCCAGGGAGGGGCCAGCCGGGGAAGCCTTTGAAGCCGGAAACAGCCGGGGAAGGAAGGCTGAGAGAAGCAAGTTTGTTAATATTCACTGGGCAGCAGCGGCAGTTGTCCCTGGGTTTTCTGTTTCCAAGGCAAGCAGACATCACCAGCCTAGCTCAGCAACTCCAGGGCCTGTGAGGCAAGGCCTGGGCTTGGCTCGTGACTTGCTGTGTGACACTGGGCAACTGGCAACCCTTTCTGGGTCTCTGTTGTCTCATCTGTAGCATGAGGGATTGTGACTAGATCACCTCCCGGGTTCCTTCCTGCTGCAGCGTTCCAGGACTCACACCTTTGGCCACTGACCCCTGCCCCACCTTCTGAGTGGGGTTCAGGGACTGTGCTGAGTCTGTCTCTGGGAAGCAGCAGGGTGCAGGGGCACACTGATGAGTGGTGCATGTGCCCAGGGGCAACATCAGAGCCGTTTAGCCACCAGGGCAGTCAGGCATGGACAGACGCATTTGGGAGGGGGCGGGGCCCTGTGTCAGCTGTTAACACTTCAGTTCCTGAAGCAGAGAAGTCTGGAGTTCTGGGGAGGGGCCAGGGAGGCAGGAGAGGGAAACACTGGGAGGGTTTAGGGCTTGGCCTGTTTATCAACTACTGTGGAAGTATTTTCACTGTTCTGACAATCCCTGCAACTATGTCCATGGACCTGCTGTCTATCCGCCCTGTTCATCGGGAGGAAGAGATGGAGAAGGCTGCCGGGGTTCTGGGAGTGGGTTTCTAGTCCTTCCCACCATCGGAAAAATTCTTGTCACTCGGAGTGGGGCCAGGTCACTGTTTCCCCTGGGTCCAGCCCCCAGGACCCCTGGCCTGCCACCCTTAGGACACCCCTTCTTCCCTGGGGCTGGGGAACAGTGAAGGGAGGCTCTCCTCCCACTCCTTTGCCCACAGCCCCCGTGGCTCCACTTGCCCAGCAGCTGTCCTGGACCACAGGCCAGGTGGCCTCAGTTCCTGGCTCCTCTGTGGCTGCCCCCTCTGCCATCTGCCCACCCCCACACAGGGCCCATTTGGCTACCCTCCCTTATATCCCACATCCCCTAGGTGAGGCCCTTTTCCATCCCATTCCAGCCTGGCCTGTAGGGGAGAAAGTTGAGATGGGGTTGGAGGGTGGGGTCAGCCAGAGCAGGTCCAGCATCAGGGCAGCTGCGGGGACCGGGGCTGGGTTCTTGGTGCAGGGCCCCCACTCTGCTGGCTGCCCCGACTTCCCTGTGCAGCAATTTCAGTTTCTATTTTGAACAGTTTGGGTTGGTTGCTTCTCTGTCTTCCTGCTGGGTGTTTATAGTGAGGAAAATAATTGGTAATATTTGCACAGATGTGCTGGCATTGCAGCTCGTCACGGGCACCTTTACCCAGGGGACCCTCCCTGCCCCCAGCCTGTCTCTGCCAGCCTGAGGAACCAGCCTGAAGGGGAGTAGCTGAAGCCCCTATGCCTCCCAGGGGCCTCAGGCAGCCAGACGCAGGCAGAGCTGGGAAGCAGGAGGCCTCAAGTGCCCCAGGCATGCCAGAGGCGGCCCTAAGCTGGAAGGGGGTGGGTGGGTGTCTGTGCTCCAGGGACTGATCAGGACAAGCCTGGGCTCCAAAGGATGGATCCTTTCTAGGGGCTGCATGAGGGAGGCCCCAAGGGCTTCGTTTCTTATTCCATTTTCTCCTACAGAGCCTGAATTTGCAGCTGAGGGTAGGGATGGGGTGAAAAGGAGAGGGGCAGGTCCAGGGTTGAAAATAGAAAATTGTGGCCAGGCGCTGTGGCTCACACCTGTAATCCCAGCACTTTGGGAGTCCGAGGCAGACAGATCACCTGAGGTCAGGAGTTCCAGACCAGCCTGACCAACATGGTGAAATCCCATCTCTACTAAAAATACAAAATTAGCTGGGTGTGGTGGCATGTGCCTGTAATCCCAGATACTCGGGAGGCTGAGGCAGGAGAATCACGTGAACCTGGGATCCAGAGGTTGTAGTGAGCCGAGATCGCACCATTGCACTCCAGCCTCGGCGACAAGAGTGAAACTCCATCCCCCCACCCGCAAAAAAAAGATAGAAAATTGTTTGGCTTCTCTTTCCCCTTCTCAAAGCCTGGAACAGCATTTCAGAGGGCTGGCAAGGAGGTGAGAATTGTGGACCATGAGGCTGCCCGCCCAGCCCAAGCAGGGCATGGACCAGGGTGCATGCTGCCCAGTGCCCTTTCCGGGGCCCCAGCCAGGCTGGTGATGGGTGGGACCACAGCGCAGGCAGGGCCAGGTGAGACTCCTCAGCCACCATGCCTCCTTCTCTTCCTCCTTTTTTAAAAATAATCTCTCTCTCTCTCTCTTTTTTTTTTTTTTGACAGGGTCTCACTGTCACCTAGGCAGGAGTACAGTAGTGTGGTCATGGCTCACTGCAGCCTCAATCTCCCAGGCTCAAACGATCCTCCTGCCTCAGCCTCCTATGTAGTAGTGGGACCACAGGCATGCACCATCATCCATCACGACCAGCTAGTTTTTAAATTTTTTTTGTGGAAATGGGGTCTCACTATGTTGCCCAGGCTGGTCTTGAACTCCTGGGCTCAAGCAATCCTCCTGTCTCAGCCTCCCAAAGTGCTGGGATTACAGGTGTGAGCCTCCTTCTTCACCTCTTGTATGTGCACATGGTGCATGTGTGTGTGTGTGTATGTGCATACAGCTTTTGTGCATGTGTGGGCTGTGCCTGTGTACATGTGCGTGTGTGTGCACAAAGGTTTGCGTGGTGTGTGGCTGTGCCTATGTGTATGTGTATGCCTGTGTGTGGGTACATGTATGTGCAAGTGTGTGCATATATATGGAAGATGTACATGTGCGTGTGAACGTGCATGCTGTGTGCCGGGGTTTGGCTTCTCCCAGAAGCCAACCCTGAGACAAGGGTTCAATTGTAGGCGGTTTATTGGGGGATGATCCCAGGAAGCACAGTTGGGGAGTAGGGAAGGAGGCAGGGTGAGGAAATCAGCCAATGAAGGGCATGTATCAAGCAGAGTGCTGCTGCAGGCAACTGAGCTCAGGCCCACTGGGGAGCCCAGGGAACCTGTGTAGAACACGACTGAAGCAGCCTTCAGTGTGAAGAGGTGAATGCAGAGGGGATCTAGGTGGGCACCAGGGCGTCTGCTGCTGGGTGGGTGGGTGTGGTGGACGTGGTGATATGCCACTCAGGATCCCTTCAGGAAGGATGGACAGCTTTCCAGCTGCTGCAGGTCCTGGCAGCAAACAGTCTTCAGGGCAAATGTTTTTGTGTTGTCTCAGCTGAAGACCACTGCCTTGCCTGAGGTCACACCCTCTTTCTGGGTGGCCCACATCTAATGACTGGTCAATGAGGGAGTGGAAAGACCTGGCTCTTCACCCCAATTTGGGTCAACTCTGGCTCCCCTGTGGGTTGGCCCAGCCTGTCATTCAGGACTGCATTGCAGCCTGACCTCTCCCTCTGCCCAGATCTGCCTCCCTCTCCATGCTTTTACAAACGTTATCCCAACAGCAGCCCCTCATATCCATCTCACAGGCTAATCTCTGTTTCTGGGGTTCGCAACCCATGCAGCATGTGTGTGTGCATACGTGCACAGCTGTGTCTTACAAGTAGGTGCACACGTGGATATGGGATGTGCATAACCTGCCTCCCCAGGGCCCTCCATCCAAGTGACCTAGAGGCCAGGCCAGTCCCTGTGCTGGCCCAGGCAGGCTCCTGGGGGCTCAGGTCTGAGAGGATATTGGAGATTTGGTGCTGAGCTGGGGCCTGAGGCAGGCAGAGATGCCTTCCTCTCCACATGGTCCAGGAGCGGCTCCTGGGATGGAAGAGATGGTGAAGGAGCAGGCAGCAGGGGCGTGGACTCCTTGGCCCCCTCACACCCTGTATCCACCCTTGGTAGCTCCAGGCAGCTCCATGGAGCCTCAGTCACCTTGGCTCACATCCCTTCCTCCCTGTCCTCCAAGGCTCTTGAGCCTAGAAGGGCTTTTTTTCCAGGCACGGATCTTGCTTTGGCTTGCCTAGAGCAAGCCAAATGCAGGCCATCACTCTACAGCCAGACTACTCCAAGCAGAGGAATCCTGGGATGGTGCAGACACTCTGGCCACCACTCCTCCTAAGGCCCATACGTGGGCTTGTCCTCTCCGCAGGCTGCCAGGGGTCAGAGCAGCAGACATAGCAACAGGTCAGTCTTGGAGAAGAATGGGATTCAGGCAAAGGCGGGGCAGGTAGCACAGCAAGATACCTAGAGGGCACCAGGTGTTACAGAAACATTTATTACAAGGATAAATCAGTACAATAATGGGACCTTAAAACTGCTGTGATGCAGGAGTGGAGGGCTGGGCAGTGCCCGAGGCAGGGGAGGACAGTGGGACAAGGGATGCTCAGTGGTGGAGCCACAGCCCTGGGCTCTGGATGGGGCATGGGAATGACCAGGTTCCCACATCATGCACAGCAGGGGCCTGTAGCTTGAGTCCAGACAGGCCTGCCCACATTGGTGCTGCCCCCCGCCTACCTGGAGATGTCTCTAAAATTCTGGATGTGCCCTAGTGGCTGAGGGTGTTGAGACTGGCACTGAGCAGAGATATCAGTGAAGATGCCCCAGGGGTAACCAGGTACCCACCACTGACCCCCTAGCATTCAGAGATGGGAAAACATCATTGGTCTTTGAGAGACAGGTGTGACGTTCCTCCTTGAGTTGGCAGAACCCTTAGGAATGGCTGTAGTTTGGCTCCAGCCCAGATGTTCCAGGCAGAATCCAAACAGCCTGGAAGCTTCCCATGGAAGGTTCCTGCCACATCCCTGCCTACAAATACAAAGAGTTATGTGACCAAATCCCTTAGATGAATTCTATTCATCCTAGGACTTGCTCAAGGGATACCTCCTCCAGGAAGCCTTCCTAAGCACCGCTGACTACTCAGCAGGCCATTCCTTCCCTGAGTCCCTTCCCTCATCTATACTCACTACTCCCTAGGGTCTCTCCTTGCTGCGTTTTCTGTAGGGCTGGACCTAGGGCCGTGCGCTCAGTGGCTGGTGAGCTGAGGGCACTCTCTGGGTCTAGTCTACTTGTGATGGCACCAGCTCACGGACCCCCAGGCAAAGCCCAGAAAAGGATGATAGGGGCGGGGAGTGGGGGGAGAGTAGGAAGAGTCATGTAGTACAGCAATATTTCAGGACCCTCTATTCTCTGTCATTGCAACTGCCTTTTGCACCCGCATGAAGAAGCTCCAAGAACCTGCCCTTGGTTCAGAGTTTACATACCGAGGCTCCTCTTCCCTATCTAGAATCTACAGTGCCTCACAAGCCCATGCAGAGATAAGCACCCTCTAGAATCAGAGACAGCAAGAGGCCCCCTTGCCTCCACGTATTTCCTTCTTGGCCTGCTGAGGTCTGGGCATGATGGGGCCAGACAGTGGAGTTGGGGGAAGCTCAGGCTGTCCCCAGGTGAAGATCCCTGTGGGCTGAAAGGATTGGGACGGGTCCCCTTGTGCTCTGGGCACCCCCTTTTCTCCCTGTAACCTCCTGCTCTTTCTCTGTGGGGAGGTTGGCAGGGTAGGTGGTGGGCTGGCTGTAGGGCAGGAGATCCTCTAGGGAATGGGCAGAATGGATGGAGCTAGGCCCTGCTGGGATGGCCTGGTGGGCAGCCCTGCCTTCTGTTTCCCGTCTGTAGCCTGGGTTAGAGAGTGGCGCCCCGGGCCCTGCTCTGGGGCTGGGAGCAGCGGGCAAGCAGAAGTGAAGGCTGAGCTCTGCAGGCTGTGGAATGGGGGTCTCCCCCTCAGCAAGCCACTCTCACGGGATCATCTTCAGGGGCCGGGCCTTTCCATAGGGTCTGCAACTCCAAGCCCCACTGCTTCCTCAGGTGGGCAGGGGAGTCAGGATGCAGGCCCTACTGGCTACTAGCCATGACCGTTCTGGGACATGTAAGCTGCCAGAGCCACCACCACAGCCACGTAGAGACCGGCCCCCACGGCGATGGCGAGTGTGGCTAGGAAGAGGGCCCGGCGGGAGGTGGTGCTGGCCAGGCGGAAGTCCCCTTTGGAGATGGCCTTGCTGGTCTAGGGAGAGAGACATGCTGATGAACAGGAGTGTCCCCACACCCAGCCAAACAGCCCAGCCTGCCAGGCCCCTGACCCCATCCTGCAGACGGGATGCCAAGCCCTCCAGTAGAGTGACGGGCCAGAGAAGGGACCTGGGCCCCAGGTGCTCTTACCCCCTGGGAGAAGTAGAAGGCAGCAATGCCCAGTGGCCAGAAGCAGCAGAGCATGGAGAAGAGAGTAAGTCCCAGGTGGTCCCTGGGAGGCAGCGTGAGGAAGTTGTCTTCACTTTCACTCTCCGTTGAAGTGGCATCGCTCTGCAAAACAGTGGAGTTTGGTGACCAGGCCCAGGATCAGCCCAGCCCCATCAGGCTGGCAAGAGGTTTTTTAAAAGGCAATGCCCAGTGGCCAGTGACATGGAGCAACAAGCAGTCTCTTCTGCCGCAGGTGGGGATGTAGGCTGGCCTTGGCACTTTCTACCAAAAGCCTTAACAATGGCACAATGATTCCACTTTTAGGAATTTATCACGAGGAAAGAAGGTAAATACCTACATCCAGGGTTGTTCATCATAGGATAGCAATTGTGAAAGAAGAGAAACACTCTCAATGGGCCAGTCACAGCGGCTCACACCTGTACTCACAGCACTTTGGGAGGCCGAGGCGGGTGGATCACCTGAGGTCAGGAGTTCGAGGCCAGCCTGGCCAACATGATGAAACTCCCTCTCTACTGAAAATACGAAAATTAGCTGGGCATGGTGGCAGGTGCCTATAATCCCAGCTACTTGGGAGGCTGAGGCAGGAGAATTGCCTGAACCTGGGAGGCGGGGGTTGCAGTGAGCTGAGATCGCACCTTTGCACTCCAGCCGGGGCGACAGAGCGAGACTCCATCTCAAAAAAAAAAAAAAAAAAGAAACACTTTCAATGACCAGTGACCAGGAGACTATGTTAATAAATGATGGAAGAACTCACAATGGAAGACCATGTAACCATTAACAATCACCTCTCAGGAATACATTAAATTACATGGAGCAATACTAAAATATGTTGCTTAGAGAAATAAAATCAGATTATAAAACTATGTACAGCAAGATTTCTTCTGGGGAGTGGGCTGGGGGAAAATGTGAATAAGAGACTTACACAATCATCCACCAAAATGTTATCTTTGAGTGTGCTGGGTTTAAATTATTTATATAATTAAGAAAACAAGAACAAGTGCTATTGAACAATGAAATAGTCAACTCAAAGCTAGTGTTTCTCAAAGCATCGGCTGTACATGTGTCCCAAGTCCCTTTTCTTTGGTAGTATACAGATTCCTGGGCCCTAATCCAGGCCTCTTAGATCTCGATATCTGGTGATGGGGCTCTGGGAACTTGCATTTTATTTATTTATTTATTTATTTATTTATTTATTTATTTATATTTTTTTGAGTCAGGCTCTTGCTCTATCACCAGGCAGGAGTGCAGTGGTGCAATCATAGCTCACTGCAGCCTCAACCTCCTGGGCTCAAGCAATCCTCTCACTTCAGCCTCCTGATTAGCTGGGACCACAGGCACATGCCACCACGCCAGGCTAATTTTCAATTTTTTTTTTTTGTAGAGTCGGGGTCTCCTTGTGTTGCTCATGCTGGAATCTGCATTTTAACCTCATGCACTCACCTCCTCTTCCTCCTGGTCATCCTCCTGGTCCCGCAGCTCCTCTTGTACCCCATAGGACACAGTCTGGATGGTGACATTCTCTGCAGCTTGGCCAGGTCCTGTGGGCTGCTCTGGAGGCCCCTCCTGGGGCTCCCTGTCCTCTGTGAAGCTTGTCTCACAGCTGCCTGCCCTGGGCTCCTTGACCTTGTCTCTCCCCAGGAGGCAGCTGGGCCGGTACCAGGCCTCCACGGCCAGCTGCAGGGACCCTGGGTCCAGGAGCTGGTGGGCTCCGGCAGGCCCAGCGCCACCTAGGAGGTAGGAGTAGAGCTTTTCCTGGCAGGACCAGCTGGGTGGGGTCTCCGGGTAGGGATAGGGGCCATGGAGATGGGCAGGGCTCCTGGGCAGCAGCGGGTTCTGTAGTTCACTCAGACTCTCCATGGTTCTGGGGCAGCTGCTGGGGAGGGGGGCCTGGGCCAGCTGAGCAGTCCTCAGAGCCTGTCAGAAGAGCAAGACAGACAAGCACTGAGGCCAGGGCACTGGAGGCAGGACCTAAAGTGGTGAAGAGCATGGGTCCTGCAGTCTGACTTGGCTCAAACTCTGCCTCTGCCCTTTGCAAGATGCAGGACCTGGAACTGGCTACTTCACTTCTCAGGGCCTCCGTTTCTTTGTCTGTGGCTTGGGACTGGCAGTAGTGCTTACCCCACAGAGTTGGCTTAGTCATTTGTCCATTCAACACATATTTACTGAGCATCAGCTATATGCCAGGCACTGTACTGGATGCTTGGGGTACCATGGTGAGAAAGATGAGAAGTAGGGAGAGGGAGCAGATGCCTGCTTTGTCTTCACAAAACTTCCAGTCTGGTGGAGAAGACAAGTGTAAAATCAAGTCTCTGCCCTGAAGAAGTACAGCAGGTGCATGTAAGCATGCACAATGGATGGAGCTGACACAGAGACCCAGGGAAGGCCTTAGAGCTGAGATCTGAAGGAAGAGTGTGGGTCAATGAGGTGAAGGGGATGCAGAACACATTTCATGCAGAGGGAAGAATGTGTGCAAAGGCCCCGTGGTTGGATACAGGAAAAGGCAGGTGTGGTGCAGGGCACAGATGGAGGTGTGCGATGGGGTGTGGGGGCCAGACCGTGCAGCCTTGCTTGAGTCTAAGAGGGGGTACTAGGTTAGGATCTGGGTCCTGAAGCCTTCCCCATGCCTGTGTGTGGGGAGTGGACTGCAGAGGGCTGGACCGACTGACCCCATTAGGGGGCCTTTGCTATGGCTGCAGGCTAGCGAAGATAACTGGGGTTCAGTAGTGGTGTAGATGGAGGAAAGGGAACTGATCCTGGGAAATATTGACAGGACTCAGTGGCAGGTGGGACTTAGGGTTGAGAAAGGATTCATTCTAGGGTCGAATGGGAGCGCGCTGAGTCCAGAGCTTGGCACACGGCATGTGCTCACAGCTGTCAGCTCTTACTGAGGGAGGATGCTTGTCCCTAGCAATGGTCTTAGAGGGATACACCTTAGTAACTTCCTCCCTAAGGCAAATTGGGACTTTGAGAAGTTCCTGCAGGATCTAAGGTGGGGCCTCCTGGGTTCTGAGGTCTGGACCTGCACATCCCGTTTGGAAGTATGGAGACACTCAGGGCTTCCCTTCCTCCTTCAGCTGCTTTGAGCACCTACTGAGCACCTGGGAAGCCATAAACCCCCCCAACACACTGGGTGTGGCAGGTGCAAGTGGGGTATGGAGAGAGGCCAGGGGCAGGCTAGGGGCCCCAGGGACCTCCTGCTGTCCCCCTCCTTGGCCCATCGCAAAGCTGGAGGGTGATGGGGCTGTGTCTTGCCCTGGATTTCTAATCTGAAGATTGGGGATTCAGTCCTGGTCTTGACGCCTTGGGCAGATCTTCGTGCCCTCTGTTTCCTTATCTGTAAGGTGTGGATGGTAATAGGGATTACCATCCATACATCCCCATAAAGTTGTTTTGTGGAGCCAAAGAGATGGCTGGGATGAGAATGTGTGGTAGATTTTGAGAGAGGGGGCTGCTGCCGCCCTGACTTCTGGGCTTCAGACTTTGGCGTCACCCACTTGGGGCCATGTCTGGCCTTCTAGCAGGTCTCTGCTAAGGGTGAAGGGCAAAGTGCAGGGAGATCCTTCTGCTCCCAGGGCTGCGATTATCTAGTCACCTCTCCAGTCCCAGCCCCCATGAGAATCCACAGCCAAATCCTGGAAAAGAGCAGTTTCTTCTTCTGCCCCAAGAGAAATGTCTGGATGCTAGGAAGCTGGTTCCTGAGAAACCTGAAGACAGAGCATGGCTCCAGGAACAATGCCCAGGTATTGGGACAGAGCAAGGGAGGAGTGGGGCCAATCAGACCTGGACGAAGACACTGAGGGTGTGTCCATGAGGGGCCAGGATCCCCTGGCTGACTTCCTAGGAAGCGGGGTGGGGGCTGCTGGCTGCATGAGGGCAAGGGGGCAAGAAGACACTACCCGTGGCTCTCAGCTCTGAATCCAAGACTGGCTGCCTCTAAGCTGGGCTCCAAGAACATCTAACAAATAATCATGGGGGTTACTCAGAGAAGGGGTTGTGGCCCAAGCGCCAGCTCCTCCCCCAGGGAGGGCACAGATGGTCCGGAGATGCTGGGCTGCCATGGGCCTGAGGGCCCTGCTGATGCATTAACCAGAGGTGAGTTCCATATAGGCTGTCATGCAGCTGTGGCAGACGTCTCTCCACAGGCAGAGATAGGGCGCACAGGCTTGGGCAGGTCATGCAGACTTGGATCATAGTTCTTCAGTGCTCACAAATGCAGGGCCTCCTCCTTCCTCTCTGGGGGTCAAAAATACAGGGAACCCCTTGGATTATAGTGATGTGGAGGGCACCTTCCAGCAGGTGGGGAGCACAGAGTGCCCAAGGCAGAGGCCTTGCTGGGCTGGGCTCGTGGCTGGGCTCCTCTGGGCAGATTTCCAGCAGGACTGGTCTCTTCTGCCCTCCAAGGGCAGCTTTGGAGCCCCTGCCATGGTCTCCCTTCTCCCAGTGGATGTGACCGTAGGTGTGGGGTTGAGGGCATGTGAGCTCTGTAAGCCGTATGGATTTGGGAGTCACGTACACTGGGATTCCATGCCCGGTCCACCCCCATTAGCTTTTTGATGTGGCCTCTCAGTTTCCCCAGTGAGTGATTGTATGAAATGGCCACTGGTGTCAATCAACTGTAGCACTAACATTCCATGATCCTATGCCCCCAAGGAACACCACAGAAGTGAAGTCTTGTTGTCCTCTGCCCCCTTTTGAGGGTCGGGGGTAGGTGAACACATGTAGAGCCTAGTGAGGGGCACAGTCATCCCCTTCCCTACCATAGCCCCTTGAGCAGGTTGAGGAAGGCAAAGGAGAGCAAGGCATCAGTTTTCCAGATGGGCGACAGAGCCATGGATTCATCTCGGGCTTCCCGACTGCCCCTGTACTGCCCCAGTTGCAGCCCTGCCCCTCCACCCCTGCCCATCTTGCCCACCCTCTGGGAATGGAGGACATGGCCCCCAAAGGTCCTCCAGCCTCTCCCCCAGCTGGCCATAATGTATGTCCCTTCAACCTGCAGCCTCGAGTCAGGTGCACTGTGCTGTCACCATCCATGTGGGCTGAGGCATGCAGGGGCCTTGGGGTGGGAGTGGGCAGCCCCAGGGCCCACAGAGCAGATTACTGCATCTGACTCACCCCTGCCCTACGCTCTGTCTCACCAGGAGGACTGCCCTCCTGTCTGATCTCTCCAGGAGGGATGGAAAGATACCTGAAGACCATAGGGGCATTTGAAGGACAATTGTTCAAAGCAGGCAGGGGCAGCTGAATCCCAGTTCTTCCCCCTATTCCCCCATCACTGCTCCTGTCAGACTTTCTTGGTCAAAGTACACCCAGCTGAGCCTCCGCAATCCCAGCCACACTCAGCCTTTACCAGCTTTCCTCCTCCCTTGGGCTCTGATGGTGCCTTTAAGCAGGGCTTCTCAGCACTTCATGCACAAAGACACATGGTCCTGGCTTTACACAATATGAAAAACTGGAAGCCACCTAAACGTCCAGCAATTGGGAACAAGTTAAATAAATTACTGTGCACAATACAGTTGTACGAGGCCTTCAAACAGGTTTACAAAGAGTAATGACGTGAGAAAATACTCATTGCAGATTCGGTGAGAAAGAAGAAAAGAAAATGGTAAATGCATGTAATCTCAACTCCGCCAAAATGTCAAGAGTGATTATCTCCAGGGGTGGGAGCACAGGTGCTTTTCATTTTCTTTTTTATACTGTTTTTTCTGTTTTCCACATTTTTTTTTTTTACAATGAGCATGTACTACTTTTAAACCAGAAAAAAATTAAGTGCATAGATTTCTTCTGAGCCAAATTATCTAAAATCAGTTTAAAACCTCCTTAGGCTGAGGGGTTCTTTCTAGGTTTGGCGGCTGAGCACAGCATTAAAGCCTGCCCCCTCACATATACACTCACACACACACACACACACAGACACACACTCACACCCACACACACCTCTTCTTCCATAAAGCAATCTGAGTTAGCAGCAGCTGCATCTGCTCACAGTCCAGCCAAGGGTCATGGTTCTCTACACAGCTCATACTCACCCCATATCCTACTAGGGCCACATGGGGAGTTCGCGGACGTGATCCTGGAGACCCAGCACAGATTCCTGACCAGAAGGAGAGGGTGGCAGGTCCCCAGACACAGCCTTCCTGCCCTTGGCTTGGCCTGGCCTTTCAGCCCATTCCTTGGGTCTGCCTCTCCCTGTTCACTGGAGTAAGGGACCGGCACTCAGAGCAGAGCAATTATCATCACCACCGTTGTGGTTTAGTCTTCCCTGGATGGTGTGTGCCTTCCAGACCCTGTGTGGTTACCTGAGGACCTACGGGTGAGTGTGCCCACACTCGTGTGTGTTTGTTTGTGTATGCATGCACGCACACGTGTGTGTGTAGGCATGCCTGTGTGTACTCTGCTCCAGAGGAACTATATGAGAGGTCTGGAATTCTGAAGCTGAGATTGCTCCAAATTGTGCAGCTGGGGCTGTGGGTCTGGGTCCCACAATGGGAGAGGGAGAGAAGGTGGCTCTGAGGCCGCAGCACCCAGGTTGTCTTTTTCTGAGCTGAGAACTTAGCTGGGCCCGAAGGTTTCCCATTCCCTGATTTGGGGATGGAGAGCACACTGCCACCTTCCAGACCAGGGGCAGGAAACCATTCAGGAATCCGCTGGAGTCAAATTACAGTCTCCTGCTGAGTCCAATTGCATTGGAGTCCAATCATACAGTGTGACATTGGTTCATTTATCTGTCAAATGTATGAGAGATTTAGGAGGAGTTGATTTTTAACAACTCAGCTCAATATGACTCTAGGATTTTATTGGGAGAAGAAGAATAACTTACACTTACTGAGTTTTTGACCATGTGCCGGGAACTGTTCTAAATGCTCGTGTTGACTCTAGATTCCTGGTAATAGAATAACAACAGGATAGAGGGCCTCCTTTTTCAGCTGGGGCAGACTAAGTCATGTCACGCCAAACCGCCAATAACAGCTAGAAAAGTGGTGTGTGGTGGGTGGGTAATATGAAGGCTTCAAGGAATCACCAAGGGAGTAAGAACTGGAGGGTCAGAATGCCAAGATCCCAGAGGAAAGAGAAACACAGGGAGGCCAGCCTGACACTTGACACTGCGTTTCCCTTTGAGACCTTTCCTGATTCCTAAGGGGCAGCTTAGAGGCTGCTCTTCCAGAAACCTCAGGGCTGGGGGTGAAAAATTGGAGGTCAGGACCTGTTAAGGAGGAGGGCCCCCAATAAATACCCTGGTTTTCAGCTGGGACCTCTTTAGGGCTACATGCTGGAAGTAGGAGCAACTCAGAAACAAACCAGCCCTCACAGCACTGAAACCAGGCTTTGAATCAGCTCCACCCCTTGTCGGATGAAGGCCATCTGCACACAGCCCAGCTGCCCGCCAGAAGCGAAAGTTGTCTCAGGGCAGGAGTTCTCAGACTTCAGCATGCATCAACATCACAGGGAGGACCTGTTAAACCTGGATTGCTGGATTTTACCCTAACGGTTTATGATTCTGGGGTGGGGCCTGGGAATTTGCATTTCTAACAAGTTCCCAGGTAATGTTGATGCTGCTGCTGGTTGAGGGACCACACTTTAAGAACCACTGCTCTGATAGTCACTGAAAAAAGAGTAAAAAAATGTATAACCACTATGAGGAATATGAAATAATAAAATTTTTTTCTTTTTTTTGAGACAGGGTCTTATTCTGTTTCCCAGACTGGAGTGCAATGGCATGATTCCAGCTCACTGCGCCTCGACTTTTTGGGCTCAAGGGATTCTCCTATCTCAACCTCCCAGGTAGCTGGGACTATAGGCATGTACCACCACGCCCAGCTATTTTTTTGTATTTTTTGTAGAAACAGGGTTTTGCCATGTTTCCCAGGCTGTTCTCAAACTCCTGGGCTCAAGCGACCCTCCCACCTTGGCCTCCCAAAGTACTATCCAAAAGGATAGTGCTATCAAAAAGGAGGCAAGAAAAAATAGAAAAAGGAATATAGAATAGGTGAGACAAATAGAAAGTAAATAGTTAAGATGTTAAGCTTATAACCAACTACATCAGTAATGACAATGAATGTAAATGGAATAAAATTGCCCAAAAAAAGACAAAGATAGTCATATAGTGTTTTATTCCACTTATTTGAAAGTCTAGGAAAGGCAAAACTATAGCGACAGAAAGCAGATGGGTAGTTGCTCAGGGCTGGGGGGAGAGGAGGGCATTGATTAGAAAGGGGCCTGAGGACTTTAAGGAATGTCAGAATTGTTCTCTCTCTTTTTTAAATGTATCTCTTTATTTTATTTTATAATTTTTAATTTATTGTTTCTTTTATATTTTCTTTTTCCACATGTTCTAATGTTCTATCTCTTGGTTGTGGTAGTGATTATAGGACTACATATATTTCACAAAACAAATTGAATTGTACACTTAAAATTAGTGAATTTTGTCATGTGTATTATATCTCAAAGATGACTTAAAAAAGACAAAGAGGCTAGGCATGGTGGCTCACATCTGTAATCAGTATTTTGGGAGGCCAAGGTGGGTGGATCAGTTGAGCCTAGGAGTTCAAGACCAGCCTGGGCGATATAATGAAACCCCATCTCTACAAAAAATAAAAAAATCAATCAGGTGTGGTGGTGCACACCTGTAGTCTCAGCTACTTGGGAGGCCGAGGCGGGAGGATCGCTTGAGGCCAGGAGGTCTAAGCTGCAGTGAGCCATGATTGCACCACTGCACTGCAGCCTGGGCAACAGAGCAAGACTTTGTCTCAAAAACAAAAACAAACCAAACAAACAAACAAACAAACAAAAAAGATAGATTGGACTTAACAAAATATGCTGCAAATAAGCAATGAAACTTAAATGTGACAATCCAAAAAGGTTGAGAGTAAAAGGATGGAATAATAATAACAACCTGTGCTTACTAAGTTCTTACTGTGCTCCAGACACTGTTCTAAATGCTATATATCATCTCATTTAATCCTTATACTAGCCATGTGAAGTCTATGTCATCATCATCTGCATTTTACAGCAAAAGACACTGAGGCATAGGAAAGTTGTAGGTGCTCACAGCACACAGCTGGTGAGTGGGGAGCTGGACATGAGCCTTGGAAGTCTGACGTCAGAATCACGGTACCCTAATGCCACTATGTATCAGCTACCATTATTGGGTGCTTGTTTTGTTCTGAACGCCATGCCAAGTGCTTCAAATGGGTTATCTCATTTAATCCATCCTCTTTAACATGTGGGGAAACTGGGGTTTAGAGAAATTAAATCGATTTTCTGAGATCACACAGCTAGAGAGTGGCAGAGCTCTATTTGACCCAAGTCTGTTTGACCAGAATGCATGCTTTTAGCCACCAAACAGATGCAGGGATGGGAGACCAGAGGTCCTGGCAAAGGTGATAAAACAGCTGGCCTGAACAGGACCATGTTCTCCAGGATTTGCTGTAGGGCTGACACCTTGAGGAGGGTTGCTGTGTGCACTGCCTGGTGGGCTCTGACCTGATTGGGAGGAGGCATCATGAACACTGTTAAAGAGAGGCCAAAAGGACAGTGTGGTGTATGTGACCAGGAGTTGGCTCACACCCTAGGATGGGGTCAGCCTTTATCAGAACCCTGTAAAATGGTAACAGCTGCTATTTATTGCATCCTCCCATGAGGTGTTCCATGTGCTTTATCTCAAAACTTTACAACAACAAATGAAGCCGGTTATTATTATTCCCCATTGTTTAGATGAGGAAACTGAGGCTCAGAACTTGCCCAAGATTAAACAGTGGAGAGACTGGATTTGACCCAGGTTTGATTTAGTCTAAAGCCTGGGCTCTGACTTCCCACTCCTTTCAGGGCATAACTGCATGGAGCTATGTGATTGGTGGATATGGAGGGTTGTGATATGTGGTAGGCGTGAGAGTGGTGAGGAGTTGATCTTGAATGAGTTAAAACCAGAGTCTTAAGTGACAGGAATGAGAAATGGGAGCGTTAAAAAAAGATTAAGAGATTTAGGGTGATTTAGCAGCCCAGGGGTAGCTGCCTAGATAACCCCAAGGGTCTGGATTCAAATAAATACCGAGCCTTTGTGAAGAAGTTGAGATACTGACCACTATCTCTCAGTGCAACAAGAGAGATTGCTTTTAAACTGAGAGATAAAAACCAGAACTTCCTAATCGGGCAGAAGATTAAATGTAAATTATTAAAATCCAGGGAAAAGGTGAAATCTTTTAGAACAGGCGCTAGACCGTCTTCTAATCAGATCATGTATAAACTGTTCTGTAAACTGTGAAGTGTTGTGACTCTGGTGGCTGTTTGTTGATGGCTTGGCGCTGGATTTGAAGATTTCTGGCTGGTGATAAGCGAAAGAGCCACCAAGCCAGCTTGGAGTCATTAGCTGCAGCTTGCTGCATTTGAGAATAAAGGGAGAAAGAGCCAGGGGTGGCGAGGGGGGCGAGGTTGGCAGAGTCAAAGAAAATGGGGAACTGAGCTTTCTTTGTCTCAGTTTGCCTTCTCAGCAAGCCTAACACAATTGATTATCCTTTCTCTCGCCTCTGTCTCCAACTGCTCCTAATTCCTGATCCTTCCTAATGGCACTTCAACATATTGTAGTCTCCCTCACTTAAAAAATAAAATCATTGTGATGATTGTAAAACCTGGCTGCAAATAATTCGACACTCTTTCTAGGAAGAGTTAGGGGGTCTATGCCCTTTCTCCCTAATCTGGGTGGGCTTGCAACTGCTTCAACCACAGAGCACAGCAAAAGTGATGCTATGTGACTTCTGAGGCCAAGGCATAAAAGGCCATCTTTCACCTTGCTCACTGGAACACTCGCTCTTGGAATCTTGAGCCATTCTGTAAGTAGTTGGATGATTCTGAGGCCACCATGCTGGAAAGGCCATGTGTGTATAGATGCTCTCATCGATGGAAGCTGCTGAGCCCAGCCTCCTCATCATCCCCAAGATGCCAGCCATTGTGAGTGAAGCCATTTTCGGTTCTTCAAACCAGCCCATCTGTCACCAAGTGACCTCTGTTAATGCCATACAGAGTGGAATGATCACATAGCTAAACCCTGCCTGCATTTCTGACCCTCCGAAGTCGTGAAGTATAATAAAATGTCTGTTGTTTTAAGCCACCAGGTTTTGGGGTAGTTGGGCAGCAACAGATCACTGGCACATCATTCCCCAGTGCCATTCCCCCTTTCGGCTCATGTCCCCTCTCTCCTTCACTTCCCATCTCTGTTTGTCAGAAGCTTCACTCACATTAGGATGCTCTAGCTCTCAGCTCAAAGGTCACTTCCTTAGAGAGGTCATCCCTAATTCCTCAGTCTAGATTTCGCCTCCCTGGTTATCTGCTCTTCACAGCTCCATGCTCCTTGCCTCAAAGTGCTTATCACAGTCTCTATTTATATATGTGTGATTCATTCATTAGCGTCTTTCTCCTTCACCAGACTGTGAGCTCCAGCGGGGTGGTAACGGTCTGTCTTGCTCCTCCCTGCATTCCCTTGCGTGGCATATACTAGGCACTCAATAGACAGTGGATCTCATGAATGAATGAGTGAATTAGTGAATGGGTGAGCTAGGTGTACTGAGACTCTCTGGGAAGAAAGTACTTTCCAGGATTTGGGGTAGATGGAATACATCTGGCTGAGGCACATTTGGTTCTGCACAATAAACATTTCTTGAACAATTACTTCAGGCCAGTTATTGGGTTGCAAAAATAAACCAGAAGTGGCACCTGCTGTGAGGAAGGGTAGAAAACACAGACTAGCAAATACAAAGTTTCAATAGATGGAGTAAGTTGTGCTAGCAGCACACAGAATGCTATGGGTGCATTGATAAGGGACCCCTATTGTGGGATGGCAGTGAAGGTGATGGTGAGAACTAGGAAGAGGCTTCTCAGAGCAGGTGACTTCTGAACTCAGTCTTGAAGGAAAAAGTAATAGGAATCATCTAGGTGACCGAATGAGAGAAGGGCATTTCCAGAAGAGGTTATAGCACAAAAGCATGGGGTAGTGATATAGAGGGGAAGCCAGGGTGTTTGGTAGCGATGGAATGAGGCAGGAGAGGTGGGAAGGCCTCCCATGCCATGCAGAGGAGCACTGGGGAGCCAGTGATGGGTGTAGCAGGGAAGTTCTATGGTCATGCCTATGTTTTAGACAGAGCACTCTGATGGGCGGCAGGGGATAGAAAGGATTTAAGGTGGGTGAGAATGGAGGCTAGGAGTCCTGTTAAGAAACTATTGTAGGAATGCAGGCAGAAGGCCAGGCACGGTGGCTCACACCTGCAATCCCAGCACTTTGGAAGGTCGAGGCGGGTGGATGACTTGAGGTCAGGAGTTTGAGACCAGCCTGGCCAACATGGTGAAACCCCATCTCTACTAACAACACAAAATTAACCAGGTGTGGTGGCGTGCACCTGTAATCCCAGCTACTTGGGAGGCTGAGGCAGGAGAATCACTTGAACCTGGGAGGCGGAGGTTGCAGTGAACCAAGATCATGCCACCCACCAGCCTGTGTGACAGAGTGAGACTCTGTCAAAAAAAAAAAAAAAAAATGCAGGCAGGAGAGGATGAGGACCTGAAACTGATCTGTGGCAGAATTGAAAAGGAGGAAGAGTCAGATCTAAGGAGCAATTAGGAGGCTAAATGAACAGGAATCTGTGGGTCACTAGAAGTGAGGAAGAGGAAGAGGAAGACGACAAAAGTGACTCCCAGGTTTCTGGCTTTGTCAACCAAATAGAAGGCCATGCAACCACCTGAGACAGAAAACCTAAGGGGAGGCTGCTGCCGGTTCAAGAGGGTAGCCTGAACACAAATGACCACCTCTTTTCCTTCTTAAGTTTCTATTAAAATGACAGGATGTATATCTTTTAAAAGAATAAAATCATAATAAATCCTGTGGAAAACAAAAAAGAATTATATCAGTGGGCCAGAAATTCCTGGAGATAAAGAGCAGATGAGATTCCTTGGTGAGGAAATCAGTGTAGAGAAACCTGTAGCCCCAAACACTGGAGGTAAGAACAACTCCCATTCAGAAGAGAGGCCTACTGTGGAAACAAACTTAGCCAACTTCAGAGGAAATTCATACTAGCTGCTTGTTCTAGTCAATGCCTTCCTTCATTCCTAAGTATAAATGGACAACAAAAGATAATAAAAAACAACTACAGGAAAATAAAAGAGAAGGATTAAATAAACAAATAGAACAAATGACCCAATAAGATCCCAAATCATTCAAGTTACAGAAAAAAAACTTTGAAAAAAAATTTTTTGAATTCATATCCTCAGGCAGATATAAAAGAACACTGCATCTATGAAACAATAACAGGCTGCTATGAAAAAGGAGCAATTCAAGAACATGAGCATTTTGGAAATTAAAAATAATCGCCGAAATTTTCAAAAATTCAGTGAAAAGACTGGATAATAGACTAGGCATAGATAAAGTAAGACCTTTCAATGTAAAAGAAAAAGTAAATGAAATTATCTAAGACATAGAGCAAAAAGACAGAAACATGGAAAAGGTAAAAGAAAGGTAAGGGACATGAAGGAGAGTCCCAGGAGGTCCAACATCAATCTAATAGGAGTTTCAGAAAGACACAACGGAAAGACTAGAGGAGAAAAATAACAATTAAAGAAGCAGAAGCGTCAAGTGTTTCCTGAACTAAAAAACAAAAAGGAATATTTAGATTAAAAGGCCCACCAAGTACCAAGCTGGAAAAATGAGACATACAGACACACACACAGAAGAGCAGGATGGGGAGAAGTGGACGAGTTTTGTTTTAAAGTGTGTTAAAGAGTAGAAATTCTGCCTGGCTGCTGGATGTATGGAGTCGAAGCCCTAGGTAGTGTTCAGGGCGGGAAAGAGATTTGAGAATCGTCGAAGGACCTTTGGAGAGAGAGAAGAGGAGGGAAGAAGAGAGAACAGAAAAGGAGAGGAGAAAGCTGATGGGGGAACCTGGGAAAGACAGATAAAACAGCTTGAACACTTCTTGGCTCCCACGGGAGGTTTCTTAGTCACTGTCTTCCAGGGAGAATCAATTGCCCTCTTTCTACCCCCTGCCACCCTGGGCTCCCATGGGCCAGACTGGCCTCTCCTTTAAAGCATAATCCACCTGCTTGGCAGATGGGCTTGTGGCTGACAAGGGTGAAAATTGCTGACAGGATTGGGATGATGGCTCTGCTACTCAAATTAGTCCATTTTCAGGTGGAAATCAAATCTTTTTTCTCACTGAAACAACCTGTCTCTCCGCTGAAGCAGCTCATTCCCAACCACTTAGAAGCAAACAGCACATCTAATGGCGGAAGATAACACACCTAATGAAGAGTTTCAGCATCCGGCCCCACTCCCTGCTTGGTTTGCTTGCTGGGTGATGGGGGTGGGGGCAGCTGCAGGGAGGAAGGAGAAGAGAGAATAAGGCAGGAGGTAAGAGAAATGAGGACTTGACATAAACGGCGGGGGTGAAGATCAGTCTTTAGTGTCCCCTGGCTTGCAGCAGAGGGGACCTTGCCCCATATGAGATGCCAGCTGAGTCCCGGAGAAGGGAAAGGGGTTGGAAAATGCAGGTTTAGAGAACTGGGATATTCCTTCTCCCAGGCTGAAGGCTGTTCCTCCTGCTTCTGTCTGCCCAGTGTACTTTGGAGCTGGAAGCCCCTCTAGGATGCACAGATGAATTGGCTTTTGGACTTGAAGGTAACCAGTGATGTGCAGATATCTCTGGATATTCTCTGCTTCTGCCATTTTGTGTGTATCACGCAGGGGAAGGGACCTGCATGTGTGTATTTCAACATTTTAATCTCTCTCTTCACACACACACACACACACACACACACAATTTCTCTTTTTTTTCTTTCTTTCTTTCCTTTCTCTCTTTTTTTTTTTTTAAGACAGGGTCTCCCTCTATCACCCAGGCTGCAGTGCAATGGCACGATCTTGGCTCACTGCAGCCTGCACCTCCCAGGCTGAAGTGATTCATGCCTCAGCCTCCCGAGTAGCTGAAGTTACATGCCTGGCTACTTTTTGTACTTTTAGTAGAGATGGGGGTTTCGCCATGTTGGCCAGGCTGGTCTCGAACTCCTGACCTCAAGTGATCCACCCGCCTCAGCCTCCTAAAGTGCTGGGATTACAGACGTGAGCCACTGCACCTGGCCACACAATTTCTTAATGACCATGTTGCATTTATTCTTCCTCTTTCTCAGCAGCCCCCCCGCCCCCAAGATCACCCAATCATGTGCCATATGCCAGGGTTGACTCCCTTCTTCCCTTTGAGGCCTTGTAGAAGGGCCCAGAATAAAAGCCTCAGCAAGGAGGGAACAAGAGGGGAACACAGGAAGCAGCCAATGGGTAGTTTTCCCCGGTCAGGAGAGGAGCCAGATGTCATCTGCCTGGGTGACCAGAGATGCCCTGCACCCTGACAGCTCTGGGAGTGGGGTGTCCACCCAAACAGCTGCAGAAGGAAGGCTAGTGTATTGTCCTCACCCCAGTAGCAGGCCAGCTCCTCTGCAGACCAGCCTTGCAGAAAAGAAAACACCTCACTAGCTTGCTGTTGCTGCTGCTGCTGCCGTCACTTTGTTATGAGGGTTAGTGACTGTCCATTAACTCCAGAGAGCTGATTCTTGCCAGTGCTGCACCAACAGCTGGGAGCCAGAAAGCGATGACGTGAGGAGGGGGGACTGGTCCCCCACCCTGGCTGGGCACTCACAGAATAATTCGGCGAGGTCACTGGCATGGTTTACTCAGCTCTACCGAAATGCCAATTAGCTAAGGTTTTTCTGAGCATCGGCTGGACCTGCCACAGTTGAGGGAAATTATTATCAGAGAAACTCATTTTGATTGATATATATATACACACACACACACACACACACGTAACACAAATATAAATTCTCTGTAGGGATGGATATTTCCTGCTTGTCCCCTCCTCTGGTCTTCCTAGGAGGGAGATCATAGCCAGGCAGGGTCCCTGGTAGGAGATGGCCAATGGTGGGGTCCCTGGCCCTTTGTTACTCACAAGAGATGGTGGTGGTGGTGGTGGTGGTGGTGGCAGGGATAATGGGGTGGTGGTTCCTGGCCTCTGGGCTTGGAGGCAGGAGCCCCTCTCAGTTCAGTCATTCTGAGTCACACTTATGGCTTTCCCAGAGAAATAAGAGAGGGGGTTCTTAAGAAAACATCAGAAATATAAATGGCTTTTTCTGGTTCCTATTGCTCACTTTCACTCCATTCATAAAATCCAGTTCATTACTAAAAGGTCATTAACTTTGTTGTCAAACCAGGTTGATAAAGCCGGCATCCTGTATTCAAGCAGAATTGAGGGGTTTATGGGTTTAGGACAGCCTCAGAAAGCCCTACAGAATATCAGGGCTTGAAATCTTAACTCATCTAGCCCAACTCTCTTCTTTTACAGATGAGAAAAATGAACCCCCAGAGGGGAATGGACCTGCCTGAGACAGCGGCGGATCTGTGACCAGAACACAGGGCTTCTGACTCCCAGTTAAATGCTTTTATTCTGATACACTTTAACATTTCATTCCCTCATTTTACACCCGATTACCGAGTCCTTACTATCTTCCAGGTGCTGTTGGGGAGGGGGTCATGAAGGGGGACAAAGAGATGAAAACAACACAATTCCTGCCTTCAGGGAGCTCTTTCCCTAGATCTGTGGTTCTTAGGGAGAAAAAATAAAAACCGGTGAGTCAGACTCTTACCTTATATTATCTCCTATAGGTGATGATGGAAGAGGAGAAGAAGGGAGGGCACACTTTTTTCTCCTTAAGGTTTATAAGTTTGGCTTCACTGATTCTGGGACCCCACGGTGGCCAAGGACAAAGGGAGACATGGCCATGCTGGGAGAAGAGGGGGTAGGGGTGACAATAATCAGGTCACTGACAGCAGGCCTGGCTAGGGGTTGGGAACAGTGACAGCAGCGCACACTGGTATGGAGATGTACAGGTGGCAAGCCTCCAATCAGGTGCATTGTTTTTCATTGGGCCCCAAGGCAGTTCCCTGAGGTGAGCAGAGCGGTGACCTTATCCCCACTCCAGGGGTGAGGAGGATGAGGTTGAAAGAGCTTAGGGAACTAGCTAAAGCCAGTAAATGCCAGCACCCAGCCAGGAACTCCTACTCTAGTGCTCTTTCTACCCCTGGGGGTAGGGAAGTTGTGTTGGGTTGGAGGGTGGGGATAAAGCAGTAGAAAGAAGTGGTCAGCCACAAGGGTAGGCCAATTCTTCCTCCACGCAGTTTTATTTTGATCGCTACATTCTGCCAGTCATAGAGAACTCTGCTCTGAAGAACTAGAAGCACTTTGCAGGCCTGAATGAGCTCATTCAGCGCACTCTTGCCAGAAAGAGAGAGAACTCCTAATGGAGGCTCTGTCTAGGGTCACCAGCACATAATAGAAAACAGGACCCAGGTTCCCTGACTCTTTGCCCTCATGCGCCAAGAGATGTGATGCAAATCCTGCCTGCTTCTGTGAGCGTCAAGAGTGTCATAGGAAAAAAAATTGAGGTATCTTCCAGGACCTCCTTCCTTCCCTGAAGAAATGGGTTAATCCATCCTAAGGGGCCTTGGCCCAAGAGCCAATCCCTTGGCCCAAGAGCCATTTCCAGGGCAGAGAAATCTCAGAGCAGGGGGTACCACAGCCACCTCAGTCACCTGGGTGAACAGGTTTGGGTGCGAGAAGAGGGGAGCTTAGTGAAGCCTGCTCAGATTTTGCTAGTGTCGCAAAACCTTGGTGGGGACTGGGGTACCAGGGAGTCTGAGGCTCTAATCAGTATTTCTTGCCGTCAGTAGGCAGGATGTCTAGGAGCTGCCTGAGGTCAGGGTCAAGGCCTGATGTTGTGAGGTTATGGTGTCTTGACCCCAGTTCATCAGCCCCCTCCCAGCACCCCCAGCCTGCAGGATGAGGGGTAGGGAGGGACGAAGTGCAAGCCTTGGCGGAGCGCAAGGTGCGGCCAAGCAGGGAGTCAGAGCCCCTAGCCCCGAGAGGGCTCCCGTGCCCTCCCCAGCTCACTCCCCGCTCCGTGCCTAGCTCTGCGCTCCCGCGGCGCCCCCAGACCGCCCCTTACCTGTCCCGCCGCGGACGGTCCCGCCTCCTCCGCGGGGCTCGGGGGCTCGGCATGGGCCGGTGAGCGACGGCGCCCCCGCCTCGCGGTCGCGGTGGAACTCCCAGGAGGGCTCCCCTGCTCTCGTCCCCGCGTCCCTGAGCAGCCGCCGCTTCAGCACCGCGGACAGCTCCCGCCCGCAGCCCGCCGCCGCCGCCCGCCCCGCCCCGCGCGGTCCCGGGAGCCCCGCATCCTGGCCGGGCCCCGCCGCCGCCGCCGCCGCGCAGCCCTCGGCCCGGCCCGAGGCGGCTCCGCGCCGACTTGGGAGAGCAGCGAGGAGGGTCCCCCTCCTTCCCGCCTCCCGCCGCCGCCGCCTCCCTCTCGCTTCCGTGCTCCGTGCTCCCTTCCACGCTCCGGAATCAGCCCACCAGGCACTCCGGACCCGGCTCCGGGGCGGGGCGGGGCGGGAAGTCGGGGGAGCCCGGAGGAGGCGGCGAAGCGAGGGGCGCGCAGCTGGAACCCGCGTACCCGCTTCCTGGAGCCGAGCCCTCTTTCCCAGCCCTTCTCTCCCCTCCTCCCGCGCACCCCAGAGCGATGGGAGGCCCTTGGGCTTCTTGAAGCATTTTGGAGCTCCTAGGCTCCAAAGCCAGCCCTGAGTTTTTAACATTGATCTGCCCTAAAAAGAAAAACAAACAGAAAGCATTTATTGAGCACCTACTATATACCAGATACCAAGCCCGATAATGTGTTTAATCAACATAAGCTCATTTAATTTTCTTAACAACTCTATTAGGCAATATAGTGCCCCTCTTCCCCTCTTCCCCTCCCCCTGCCCCCCTCCCCCTGTCCCCCTTCCCCCTCCAATTTTGCAGACCAGGACGCTGGGCTCACAAGGATGAAATCCTGTGATTTGGAGATTCAGTGCTGTGCTGGGAAGGGCACAGGTTTTAAAGCTCATGGACCTAAGTTTTGGTCCTAGGGTCCCACTTGCTGTATAACCTCGAGCAAGTTACCTAACCTCTTAAAGCCTCAGGTTCCTCATGGACAAAGTGAGGGGTCATATGAGGACAAAATGAGATGACATACGTGACACATTGGCACTCAATAGGCACTCAGTGAGTGAGCGTCCCCCTGAGTTTTCCCAGCAAGAGCCCTGAGATCCGAATGCAGGCCTTTTGGCTGCTTTGTCTCCACCCTGTGCTGCTCTTTATCCACCTCCACCTGCGTTTCCTTTTTTTTTTTTTTTTTTGCATGGGGATGCCCTATCTTGAGTGTTACCAGTGGATGAACCTATTCTTCGAGCGCCTTCACAAGGTCTTGAGTCTCACCAAAGTCCCAGGAGGTCAGGAGGAGAGAGTATTCTCATTTTCTGAAGGTAAGTGTGGGTTTGCAAAGTAAACCACAGAGCAGGCTGCAGCTGGGGCTGGAAGACACAAGGAACCAGGGTCTGGCAGTGGGATTCCACTAGCATCCACTAGTCTCCTAGCATCCAGCTGAGGATGCTATAGCACATAGCATGGTGGACTCCAGGACTCCTTCACTCCCACAGGATGTGGGCATCTGGCACAGTTCGGTGTAGCTCCTAGAGTGCACAGTAGGAGCCAGGAGCAAGTCCACATCATGGGGCTTGGGTCTCCTTCCCTTCAAGGCAGGACAGAGAACTCCCTTATCCTGGGGTCTGTCTCAGGGCTGGTATTGGTGTTTAACTTGTTGGGTGCTAAATATATTATTGCTCTTCCTGTCTCTGCCCCATTAGTGGATAATGCAGTGAGAAGCCCCCTGAGGCCAGCAAGGGTCTTGGACCACTCATCTCAGGCCCATACTTCATCTTCACAGACACCCTCCTCCTCAAAACACAGACATACAGACACACACACAACACAGACACACATAGACACACACAGACACACACACAAGACATTGTCTCTGATGTCAGGCCACCCTCCTGTACCTTTGCTTTCTCTGGCCTTCCTCTCACAGGGGCTCATGGCCACCTACTTGGCCTTGGCCTCCCTCTGCTGCTCCCCTCCCCACCCTGGCTGTGCTCCATGCCTGGGCTGCATACTGAAATACTAATTGAAAGGATAATAAAAAAGCCAGTGAAGCAAAAGCCGCATATAAATTCTAAATACTAATGTTGATAATTACATGCTGCTGCCTGGAGGGAAAACTCAAAGAGAGGCTGTTGGTGTTGTATCAAGGGCCCTGGCCTGGTGCCAGGAGACCCAGGTTCTAGTCTCGCCTTTGTCATTAATTGGCTGTGCGACCTTAGGCAGTCGCCTAATCTTCCTGGGCCTTTGCTTTCTTATAATTCAATAGCTCTGAAGAAACTATAAGTGCAATCAGCAATGTATGATGCTTGTGACAGAGAACAGTGGGTAATGCAGTGATAAGAATTTCTTCCCGGGAAACTAACCTTTACCTCTCACAAGGTACAGGGGTGGCTTAGGGACTGAAGAATCTACAACCATGCAAAGTTTCCATTCTTTTTCCATTCTCTCTTTATCCCTCCCTTCCTTTTTCCATCAAGCATTTCCTGCCATGTAATGAAAATCAACCCCTCTGTTAGACACCAAGAATGGAAAGTATAAACCATTGTCCAGGCCTTTGAAGGAGCTGCAATGAAGGGGATGCGGTCCATAGACATGTTGACCAGCAATTCCAACACCTTGTGATAAATGCTGTCATGGAGTAAGTGAAGAGTGCCAGAGAAGAAAACAACTCACCCTGCCTGGGGAAGTCCCAGGAGGCTTCCTGGAGAAGGTCTGAGTTTTATTAAAGGATGAGACAGTCACCAGGCAGGCCATGGGAGGAGGGGATTGTTGGTAGGAAGGCCGGAGTGAACAGATGAGCCTGGAGGACTGATGAGGAAGCTCCACCAGAGCCCAGGAAAGAGGTGGTGAGAACTTGAGCAAGGCAGAGTCAACAGGACGGGAGCAGGGAACGGATTTAAGACACTTCTGGGTGAAAACAGAGAGGAGAGATTGGTTGTGGGGAAGGGAGCAAGTCCAGAAGGGTAACACTGGGGGCTCCTGCTGCTGGGAAGCTAATGCTATTTACCAGAGGGCATCAGGAGGGGAGCAAACTGCTTACCTTGGGTAATGCTGCTTAGCACCATAGCCCCTCAGTTTCTAGGCACTCTCTCTTTTTTTAAAATTTTATTTTCCCTTTGGTTCCTAGAAAATTTTCTTCAGCTAAAAAGGCTCCTCCCATCTTGTCTTGATTATCTGAATGGAAAAGGGAAAGGCCCAGACTTGGGCCAGGAGAGCTGACTGGGGCAGAGCAGCCCTGGAAGCTCACCTGGAGGTAGCAAGCATCCTCGCTGGGACTAGGGTGAGGACCACAGGTAAGGGACAGAGTAGGCACTGGCTGAAAACCTGGGAGGGGATGCCCTCGTGTCCTCTTCTCCTCCCACATCTCTGACATTCCTTAAGTGAAATCCAACCCTAGAGGGTTCTGTTTTAGTTGGAGTCAGCTCCGGCTGCTAATCTCTTCCCACCTGGGGACTTCCCTTCATAAGCTTTTTCATGCATAAACTCTTGGTTCTTTTTACAAGGGGTTGATTGCCTCACAGTGTTCTCTAGGGAATGTAAATCAGCACCAAGCATAGAGAGGCCTGCCCCACTACTACTTCAATAGGCCACACACTGGAAGAGATGCTTCCCTTAAGAGGACAGGTGAGCCCCACCCCTGGCCTAGTGAGCCCTCTACCTCGGAGTTGAGCTCACGGCCAAGGCCATATGGCTGTGACCCACAAATCCCTGGCTAAAGGAGGGATTGTCTGGCAGAGGACAGGAGAGGTGGGCCTTTGGACTGCCCATCAGCCAAATCCTGCACTCATGGATATGGCTCCAGGATGACACAGTTCCAAGGAAGGGTGCATATGTGGCTGTAAGCAAATAGTGGGAACAAATTCTTGACCCTTAATGCTAGAGAGAACCCTGGAAACCCTTACTGCTTCTGAGTCAGGCCCTTTGGTTTGAGGCAGACCCCCAGCAATGAAGTCTAGAGTTGTCTGTCTTTTAAACTTCTTATTTGGGGGGCTTTGGAAGTACATTACCACAGCTGCTCACTTCTTTTTTCCATAGGAGACTGCAAAACGGAAGAAGCCATTTCTTTAGAAACACACTGATTCATGCCCAGGAAAGAAGATGAGGAGAGTTCTTAGCACCGGTCCCGCCCGATTCCCTGCTTTCCTGCCAGGCACACACTCACTCAAGCCTGGGGAGCAGAGTGGGTGAGCTACTGCCAATTTGAGAGGTAGAACCAGAGCATAAAGTGAAGGAATCCAGCCACCGCAGACTGCACAGCTCTGAACTCCACCACTAACTCTGGCATCCGCAGGCTGCTCGGGGCATGTGAGCATTTGCACCCTGGCAGAGTAACCTGCACTCTTGGCACTTTCCCACTTTGCTGGAGCAAGGATGAGTGAGCGTATATGTGTGAGAGGTTGGGGGTGCCAGGGTGGGGCTTATCAACAGTGGCAAGCAGATGGCAGGGTTCTTTCACCTGATATGGTAACAAAATGAAAATGAGCGGAAGAATACGCATTCTTTTTTTTTTTTTGAGACAGAGTCTCACTCTGTCACCCAGGCTAGAGTGCAATGGCATGATCTCGGCTCACTGCAACCTCCGCCTCCCAGGTTCAAGCGATTCTCCTGCCTCTGCCTCTCAAGTAGCTGGGATTACAGGTGTGTGCTACCATACCTAGCTAATTTTTGTATTTTTAGTAGAGATGGGGTTCACCATGTTGGCCAGGCTGGCCTTGAACTCCTGACCTCAATTGATCCACCCGCCTTGGCCTCCCAAAGTGTTGGGATTGCAGGCGTAAGCCAACATGCCCGGCCTAGCATTCTTTATATTTGCTTGCACACTACAATTTTTTTTTTTGAGACAGAGTCTTACTCTGTCACCCAGGCTGGAGTGCAGTGGTGCAATTGCTGCTCAACACACAGCAATTTTTGAAGCATCTGCTTTGCCATTATCTCATTTCATTCTTATAAACATGTATAATTCCCAGTTTACAGATGAGGAAAACTAGAAGCTAAGTAACCAGAGAAGCTAAGTAACTTCCAACTTGGAAAAAATAGTCAGAGATCAATACCAAGCCAAAAGAAAAAAAATGAAACTGATGCATAATCCTGCCTTCTTCCTGCCCTTGAAGCCAGAGCCAGTGTGATGGGGCTGGGGGAGTTGCAGAAAGAGGCCTTCTTTGCCTTCACCCTGAACTGGGACAATGCAGAGTGGGCCCCAAGCTCCTGCAAATCCCTGATTGGAGCCCTTTAAAGAGCTAAGACCAGGACCCAGGACTGCTCCCATCTTTGTGCATGTGTGTATTTTTGCATGTGCGTGTGTGTGTGTGTATATGTAAGGTAGGGTGTGTTTGCCCCAAGAATGGCTTTCTGAGCTTGGAAAGTGAGCCTTTCTCCCTCTGTGTAAAGGGAAGAACTTTCCTTGTGCCTTCCTGTGGGTCTGGGGAGGCAGGGCTCTGGAAGGCAAAAGGTTATTGGTACTAAGAAAACATCCTTGGGGAAGCTGGAGAACTTGTTATACTCTTTGGTCCAGGACATGAAAAAGAGTCCATTTTGACTGTCTACTCTGTATTAGACAGTTTTATCTTTTAATCCTCAAAATAATTCAATAAGTTTGTTTTTAATAAAGGCTCATGGAAGTTAAATTAATATACTAGATTCATACACTCAGCAAATGACTGGGCAAGATTTGAAGCCGGGTCTGTGTGATGCCAAAGCTGATTTTTTCCCCCACTGTCTACCCCAGAAATCTTACTCATCTGCATCATTGTCCAAGGAATTGTGACATTTAATGAGGGAGCAGAAAGAGAAACAAGAGGAAATAACTTCAAAATGTACAGAGAATCTCTGGACATGCCACCCTCAGATGGAATGTGATGGTGCAAGTCCCCAACTTCTCCGCTAGATCAGGAACTTGGACTTGCTGAACTCAAAGGCTGAGCCTTTCAATATGCTCTGTTCATTTCTCTTTTGTTTTATCTTAATTTTTCTCATGTTCCTTTTGAAGATTGCAGCCTAATTCAGCTGGGTTAAGGGAACCCAAGAGTGAACAGGTGAGGGAGGGAGGAGCACTGGGAGCACCACCCTGGGGGCTAGCAGGGTCTGCAAGCAGAGGGGGAAGTGAAAAAATGCCCAGAGAGAAGGGGAAACACTCAGCCTACTGTTTCCTTTTTGCCAGAACACCCACTCCCAAGGACTCTCCTCTTCTTATGCCTTGGAAGGTGTGTGTGTGTGTGTGTGTGTGTGTGTGTGTGTGTGTGTGAGAGAGAGAGAGAGAGAGAAAGGGAGAAGAAGGGATAAGCCAATGAGGCCACACTACTTGCAGTTATCAGCTTCTTGATCCCTGGTCGCCCATGGTCCCAGCAGCAAGCAGTGCTTGGGGCACCCATGTAAGGCTGTGCATTACAGCAAACACATATTTGGTTTCACTGAAGCCTTCATCCCATCTCTCCTCCACACCCTGGTATATAATCCTCTCCCTCTGGCTCCCAAGCCTGTTATTCCAGCACAAACTGTGGGCCCTAACTGTGCTATGATGGCAGGGCTCTGTCATGTCAATGAGAATGTTAACAGCTAGAGTAGTGAAGGCACACTGAGCCAGGTTGGGCACTGGAGAGCTATTGAGAGAGAGGTACAATAGAGGTAGAAGGAGAAGGTTAGGTGAGGTGGCTCACGCCTGTAATCCCCTCACTTTGGGAGGCCAAGGCAGGTGGATTGCTTGAGGTCAGGAGTTCGAGACCAGCTTGGCCAACATAGTGAAATCCTGATTCTACTAAAAATAGTAAAGTTAGCTGGGTGTGGTGGCATGCCTGTAGTCCCAGCTACTCAGAAGGTTGAGGCAGGAGAATTGTTTGAACCCGGGAGGTGGAGGTTGCAGTGAGTCGAGATTGCACCACTGCACTCCAGCCTGGGGGACAGAGGGAGATTCTGTCTCAAAAAAAAAAAGAGACAGAAGGAGAGATGGATGGACGGTAGACTTTTTTGAGCTCCTGCCATGTGCCAGGAACTGTGTTAAGAGTTTTTAAAAATGTACTATCTCAATGAATTATCTATTAAATCTACGATGTAAACATTTACTATAAAATATGATTTGTATTGATTCTTAAATAATTTAATAAGTGCCAGGTCTTGTGCAGATGCTCTATACACTGTTTCATTTCATCTTAACAATACTTCATTTCTTTGGCGCTAGGAGAACAATCATTGAGATCTCTAACCCTTGCCTGAGGAGATGCTGTGGGGGGCTGGTGGAATGAGCAGGATTCTTTGCATCAGGCACACCTAGGTTCAAAGCATGGTAGGTTTGTAATACATGTTTGCTCTTTTTTGGAAGCAATTTGGTACCCTGTATCAAGGGACAGAGTAAGTTCACTACTGGGAAACCATCCTAAGACAATATTAATAGGTAACATTTTTTGAGTAACTACTACATGCCAGGCACTTGTTTAGATAAATAATCTGATTTAATTCCTTTTTTTTTTTGAGACGGAGTCTTGCTCTGTCACCCAGGCTGGAGTGCAGTCGTGCAATCTTGGCCCGCTGCAACCTCCACCTCCTGGGCTCAAGTGATTCTCGTGCCTCAGCCTCTCAAGTAGCTGAGATTATAGGCACGCACCCACCACACCTGGCTAATTTTTTGTATTTTAGTAGAGGCGGTGTTTCACCGTGTTGCCCAGGGTGGTCTTGAACTCCTGAACTCAGGTGATCCGCCCACCTCAGCCTCTCAAACTGCTGGGATTACAGGCGGGAGCCACTGTGCCTGGCAATCTGATTTAATTCTAACAACCCCACAAGGTAGGTACCATTATCATCCCTATTATGCAGATGTGAAAACTGGGACATATAATTTACCCAAGGTTTTATGGCTTGTAAGGACAGAGCCCAGATTCCAACCCAGGCAGCCTGGCTTCAAGGCCTCACTCTTAACCTTAATACCATACTAACTATGTAAGCTTTGCACACAAAACTAGCCATCACAGTATTATCATTACAGAAAAATTGGAACATATATAAATGTCCAAAAAATAGGGCAATGGGTACACAAATTTAAATGATATTTTAAGAGTTTGCAATATCATGGGAGAAATGCTTATGTTATGAAATGAAGTGGAAAAAAGCAGGTTACAAAATTGCACATATAATATAACAACAAGTATGCCAAAAAGCCCATAAAAATCTTAGGAGGAATTAAAACAAAATGCTATTAAGGGTTGTCCCTTGATGGAGGTAACTTTGGTTCATTTAAACATTCCTCTTTATCCTGTTTTTGTATTTTCTAACTCTCTGCAATATGCATGCACTACCTTAAAATTATTTTAAAGCTTAAATAAAAATAAATATCCATTGAGTGAATGATTGCTGCATTGGGTACCCTTTGAAGACTCATCCTCTCTCTCAAAATCTTTACTCCCAGCAGGAACAGTGGTGGGATTGGGGAGTGACCTCTACCCCTGGCCTGCCTCGGTGGGAGAATAATAGTAAATGAGGTCACATTTCTAAAGGATTATGTTCTCCTTACAGCCCTAGTGATCCTCACAGAAAAAAGGAAGGCAAATAAAAAGCAGTGGGGAGGATGCAGGGAGTGGGAAACACAGTGGAGGGGGAGAAAGAGGTGGCAGAGGAGATGACTTGGGGAGGAAAGGGGAAGAGATCAAGGCAAGCTGGAACATCCAGAAGGGTCAGGAAACTGGGAGGGGAAAGTGAATGAGTGACGAGGCATGATAAAGAGAGGGCAGATATGAGAGAGAGAGAGAGAGTTTCTACACAGCAAACTGGTAAGGGATTTAATTCATTTCATTCTGCTAAGCTGCAATGTTTTTCTTCAATGTTATAGAAACCATTTTCTTCAGTTAAACACTGAAAATCTAGGGGAAGCTGGCAGGCTGGGCGCGGTGGCTCACACCTGTAATCCCAGCACTTTGGGAGGCCGAGGCAGGTGGATCATGAGGTCAGGAGATCGAGACCATCCTGGCTAATACAGTGAAACCCCATCTCTACTAAAAAAAAAAAAAAAATTAGCCGGGCGTGGTGGTGGGTGCCTGTAGTCCCAGCTGCTCGGGAGGCGGAGGCAGGAGAATGGAGTGAACCCAGGAGACGGAGCTTGCAGTGAGCCGAGATCGTGCCACTGCACTCCAGCCTGGGCAACAGAGTGAGACTCCGTCTCAAAAAAAAAAAAAAAAAAAAAAAAAAAATCTAGGGGAAGACTTTTCCTGGGTTTGCAACTTGAATCTCTCTCCCTGCCTGGCCTTGCCCTCCATCCTCAAGGCTCCAGCCAAGAGTACTTCTTTGGGCTGTAGCCATTGCAGTCTTCCAGGGACAACCAGGCCTATCCCTGCTTCAATTCAATCAGCCAATACTGGGAGTTTTGGTGCCAATGGACAAGCATCAGGACATAAAAACAAGATTAAAGCTCAACTGTTCCAGAGCACAGTGTACAAAGGCTGCTTAAAGCTTCCAGTTTGCAAACCAAATCGTGGAACAATGTAAGATCTTCAAGAATCTTCTGTAGAATTCAACCACAGGGAAAGAAATGAGGCCCAGAGAGAAGAGTTGGCCAGGGCCAACAGCTGGTTGGCAGGGGAGTCTGGGCTTTGTGATTCCTTACCCAGTAGAATGATAGCTTCTGATAGTAGTGATGTTTTGTGTTTTCAAAGTGCTTGCTGTGAATCTGACTACTCTTCTTTTTACCTCCGTAATATGCATTGGGGTAGGTAACCCAGTAATAAGTTCTATTTTTGTAGGTAGAAAGTCAGCAGCTCAGACAGGTCATGGAATGTTCTCCCAGCATCACTGAGCTGACGACTGCTGGAACTGGGGCTCACACTAAATCTTCTTGGGAACATGTACAGGGGACTTTGTGTGAGGCCACACACTCTCCAGAGGAACTTTCAGCCGTGGAAAGTGAGGAGCAGTTTTGATTTCTGCAGTTTGCTAGAGCCGTCAGGAGTTCCTCCTTGCTGCAGCACAGCAAGTGTTAGAGGCATAGAGTGAGTGTGTCCAAGTTTCTACCATAATTTTCTGGTTTCTGCTGTAAAATCCTCTACTTGGCTACAGTTCTGATAGTGTGAGGCCTCAAACCCATTATCACTGAGAGCCACTGAGAAAGCATTTACTATACACAGAAAACAGGGTAGGTTCTGGGGATACAAAGAGATATGAGATATTGCTCTGGCCAGCAAAGACGGGATGATTTTAGCTGTGGAATAAGGACAAATACATATATGTACAAAGAGATAACAAGTCTGGGTTCTCCAGAGTACTCCCTTTGCATGTGCCATTCTGCTTCCTTGAAATCCCTTACCCCACTCATTTTTTTTTTTTTTTTTAAGAGATAGTGTCTTGCTCTGTCGCCCAGGCTGGAGTGCAGAGGTGCCATCATATCTCACTGCAGCCTTGACCTCCTTGGCTCAAGCAATCCTCCTGCCTTAGCCTCCCAAAATGCTGAAATTATAGGCATGTGCCACCATACCTGGCTAATTTATTTATTTATTATTTATTTTTGTAGGGACAGGGTCTCACTTTGTTTCCCAGGCTGGTCTCAAACTCCTGGCTTCAAGTGATCCTCCTGCTTCAGCCTCCCAAAGTGCTAGGATTACAGGTGTGAGCCACCACGTCTGGCCAACCCACTCACCATTAAAAGCTCAGCTCAGCTGGGTGCAGTGGCTCACACGTGTAATCCCAGCACTTTGGGGGGCCGAGGCGGGCGGATCTTCTGAAGTTAGGTGTTCAAGACCAGCCTGGCCAACATCATGAAACCAAGTTTCTACTAAAAATACAAAAAATTAGTCAGGCGTGGTGGGACGCGCCTGCAATCCCAGCTACTCGGGAGGCTGAGGCAGGAAAATCGCTTGAACCTGGGAGGCAGAGGTTGCAGTGAGCCAAGATCATGCCATTGCACTCCAGTTTGGGCGACAAGAGCGAAACTCGTCTCAAAAAAAAAAAAAAAAAAAGCTCAGCTCAGGGGTTTCCTCCTTGGTGTCTTTTCCCAGACTCCTCTGCCTGGGCTGGATGCCCCCTCTCTGGCTTCCTGTAATAGCTCGTATTTTCCCTCCCATAGCACTCAGAGCGTTGTACTTTTACATCATACTTGTCTCTCCTTCACTTGACTCTGAGTTTCTGGGAGGAGGTTGGGGGTGTATTTCTATCCCTTGTACCTAGCTTATGCCTGACATAAGTAAACACTTAATAGATGTTTGCTGAATAAAGAAAAGCAACCATTCTGCCTCTACTGCCTCCAGCATATAAGCTCTAAGGCCCTTGCAGCTCTGATGTCCTGGGACCTCATGCCTGCTGTTTGAGGCATGGATTTCAGTGACAGGGGACTCAAATCATTGAGGCAGGGCATGACTTCACTTAGTAGTAAAGGAAACCACCTCACTGTAGCCCCTCTTTTCCTCCTCAAGTACCTAATGATAAATCGATCATGAACAACAGTGGAGACTTGTGGCTTACTTCACATCTCTTTTGTTAGAATGACCAGGGCTGGAAGAAGTCCAGCAGAAACTTGCTGTCCACTTCTAACAAGGTCTTACTCATGTACCTGGTTGCCAGGCAGGTGAGGCTGGGAAAATTTAGTGGCTAGACAACACAGAACATGCAAGAAAGGAAACTAGCTAAGAGTATTTGCAGATTAGAATGGCAAGGAAACTAGATGGAAACAAACATTCAAAGTACCTGCCAGGCTTTTAATAATGTCAGAGGAGAAGAGCCTGGAACCAGCTGGAGGAAAAAGATAAGAAACACATTTATTTCCTCTGCCTGGACCACATCAACTATCCCCCAGCTCCCACCCCTATACCTTGTGTTTTACTATTAGCAAACAATTGGTTGCATTTCTCAGGCAAGCTTCATTGTGTCAATCTCTCTTTAGTAGGAAAAGCTGAGTCCAAGATGTCAGCAAATTTGTTTGGCAGCCGCTCAGGGGCTGTTTTGCTATCCATGGTGCTGACAGCCCTACTATAGGGCCCCCAAACCTCTGAGTCTTTAGCCACGTTCTTCTGCCCCCACAGATGACCCTGCGATGAATGATAGAAAGAAGCTGGGATGTGGACAAGGAAAACCTGAAGTCCTGTCTAGAAATATAGGTTCACAGTCAGACTATTATCTGAAACTCTTGGCACCAGATGTTTTCCAGAATTCGGATTTTTTCAGATTTTAACAAGGAAATATGGTGCACCTACTGTATGCTATATAAAATCCTTGGTGAGGTCTGTGGCAGCACCACATAACCAAGCACATCAATATCTCTTCAGTAAAATGTATGACTAGTCATCCTAAGTGTGATCAATAAAGATGTTAAGTAACCTTATGGTGGTTTAGGTCAGGGTCTTCCTCTTAATGAGTTCTCCTTAGGCTTACAAAAAAACTTTTGGTTTCAGAGTATTTTAGATTTCAGAATTTGGGTTAAGGAATTGTGAGCTCACAGCAGTTCCAACTCCACCTTAGGTAAACTCACCTGTAAAAATTCCTGCGATTGATTAAACTTTCTAAGCTTGTAAATTTCCTGGCAGGGAGTTGGCGGCAGGGGATGGATGGGAATGAAACTAAAGCTTGGGCCATCTATTTCTCAAACTCACCCCACCCTCAAAGGTTCACAGGCAGAAAACTTTCTCCTCAGGTCAAATTGCTAATAATTATTGAGGAATAGCTACAGATCCTGGAAGCCTCATGGGTGACACACAGACTGAAAAATTAAAAGGCCATTAGCCCTTTTCTTACTACTCAGAAGCCTGACTGTCCCTTGACCCTGGGCAATCTTACATTTCCTAACACCCAACCATGAGCATAGTTGGAATTCCTGTAATGGGGGAAGAATGTTCTGTTATCAGTGCCTAAAAATGGCTACTAGCCCTAGTGACTGCTCACTACCTGCCACGTTCTGTACAAAGTACTTGACATGCATTAGCACTCTTATCCTTATCACTGCTTTGTAAGGCAGTACTATTCCATTTTGCAGGTGAGGAAACTGAGGTTCTTCTGAAGTCAGGTGTTCAAGACCAGCCTGGCCAATATCATGAAACCAAGTTTCTACTAAAAATACAAAAAATTAGTCAGGCGTGGTGGCACGTGCCTGTAATCCCAGCTACTTGGGAGGCTGAGGCAGGAAAATCACTTGAACCCGGGAGGCAGAGGTTGCAGTGAGCCGAGATTGTGCCATTGCACTCTAGCTTGGGTGACAAGAGCGAAACTCTGTCTCAAAAAAAAAAAAAAAAAAAAGGCTCAGCTCGGGGGTTTCCTCCTTGGTGTCTTTTCCCAGACTCCTCCGCCTGGGCTGGATGCCCCCTCTCTGGCTTCCTGTAATAACTCGTATTTTCCCTCCCATAGCACTCAGAGCGTTGTACTTTTACATCTTACTTGTCTCTCCTTCACTTGACTCTTGAGGGTCTGGGAGGAGGCTGGGGAGGTTCAGAGGTTAAACAACACACCTTAAGTCATAAAGCTGGTAAGTGGTGGAAACGGGGATTTGAGCCCTGATCAGTCTGACCTCAGTGCCTGCATTGCTTCTCTCTTGCCTGCACAGTCTCACTGTCATGAGTCTTGGCTTGAGTGTGAACAGGGAATTAAATTGCTGCTAGTCTTGGATCAATTTACTTTGTGGCGGGTTTTTAGTTAACTATGCTGTGAAATGATGTATATTTACATTTACAATATATTGTTCAGCTTAAAAAATTATTCAAGTAGGCCAGGCGCAGTGGCTCATGCCTATAATCCCAGCACTTTGGGAGGCCGAGGCAGGCGGATCACCTGAGGTCGGGAGTTCGAGACCAGCCTGACCAATTGGAGAAACCCCGTCTCTACTAAAAATACAAAATTAGCCGGGCGTGGTGGTGCATGCCTGTAATCTCAGCAACTCGGGAGGCTGAGGCAGGAGAATCGCTTGAACCCAGGAGGCAGAGGTTGTGGTGAGCCAAGATCGTGCCATTACACTCCAGCCTGGGCAACAAGAGTGAAACTCCATCTCAAAAAAAAAAAAAAAAATTATACAAGTAATAATTGCTTATGAAGTGGAGAAGTCAATGGTATAAGGGTGCTCCCTGCTTATGGCCTCTCCAAGCCCACTTCCAACTGATTAACTATGTATTGTATATCCTTCCAGAAGTTCATGTGTACTTTTCAGTACAATAGGAGATTACACATAGTCTACCATGGCATTATTTTTGGCCTTAATAATGCATCTCGGGCTGGGCGCGGTGGCTCACGTCTGTAATCCCAGCACTTTGGGAGGCCGATGCGGGCAGATCACGAGGTCAGGAGATTGAGACCATCCTGGCTAACACGGTGAAACCCCGTCTCTACTAAAAATACAAAAAATTAAGGCCGGGCGCGGTGGCTCACACCTGTAACCCCAGCACTCTGGGAGGCCGAGGTGGGCGGATCACGAGGTCAGGAGACCGAGACCATCCTGGCTAACACAGTGAAACCCCGTCTCTACTAAAAATACAAAAATTAGCCGGGCGTGGTTGCAGGGGCCTGTAGTCCCAGCTACCGGGGAGGCTGAGACAGGAGAATGGCGTGAACCCGGGGAGGTGGAGCTTGCAGTGAGCCAAGATCGCGCCACTGCTCTCCAGCCTGGGCGACAGAGCGAGACTCCGTCTCATAAAAAAAAAAAAAAAAAAAATTAGCCAGCATGGTGGCAGGCGCCTGTAGTCCCAGCTACTCGGGAGGCTAAGGCAGGAGAATGGCGTGAACCTGGGAGGCAGAGCTTGCAGTAAGCCGAGATCACGCCACTGAACTCCAGCCTGGGGGACACAGCGAGACTCTGTCTAAAAGAAAAAAAAAAAAGTATCTCTCAATATCTAAACATATAGAATACCTCATGTTTGTTTTTATTACACTATTTTTTTTTAAAGACGTGATAAATGTACCAGGCAAACAGCAGTGAAAGGGATACATTTCTAATTACTAGGCTTTAAGGCACATAGATATAGCTGTTTGTTTTTGAGGAAGCACAGCACAGTGGTTAAGAGCATAGAGCATTTGGAGATAAGTCCCCAGTCTGTCCCTCATGGACCTTGTAATTTTGGATAAATCTCAATGTCTCTGAACCTCAGTTTTTTTATCTGTAAAGTGGGACTAATCATGGAACTTCCCTCATGGAACTGTATAAACAAGAAAAGATAAGGCAGTTAATGGGTTTAGTACCATGCCTGCCGGGGACAAAGAAAGTTATTATGGTTCAAGTCAGAAGCAGCCACACTGCTACTGCTAGAATAGATATATGAGTCCTCCTAAATTTGCTTGTCGGATAGCCCTTAGTTGATAACATTGAGCTTTGTTTTGTTTTGTTTTTAATCCTGGAAAGTTGGAATAGGTGGATCCAGGGATCTCTTGCTCTCCTGCCCACACTGCTTCACCAATTACAAATTAACCACACTCAAAAAAGTTTGGAAGCACTGCTTTTGACAGATTGAACTTTGTCCCTCGGACACTGAGCTCCTGCCCTGGCAGTGGAGGTAGGGTGAGTATATAGAATTCAGGGTGCAAAGCATTGAGTTTGGGGCTAGGAGTTCTAACCCTAAATCTGTTACGACCTTGCTGTGTGACTTGGATAGATTCAGGATTCTAGAATTTTTTAAAAATAAATTTTGTTTTTATATATATATTAGAGGCAGGGCTTTGCTCTGTTGCCCAGGTTGCAGTGCAGTGGCACCTTTTTAGCTCACTGTAGCCTCGAATTCCTGGGCTCAAGTGATCCTCCCACCTCAGGCTCCCAAGTACCTAGGACTACAGGTGAGTGCCGCCATGCTTGGCTAATTACTTTTTAAACTTTTTTTTGTAGAGATAGGGTCTCAGTATATTTCTCAGACTGGTCTTGAACTTCTGGCCTTAAGTAATCCTCCCATCTCGGCCTCCCAAAGTGCTGGGATTACAGGTGTGAGCCACTGTGCCTGGCTGATTCTAGGGTTTTGTTCTGATTTTCAAGATCCTGTTTTAATAAAAAAAATTTCCAAGAGTATGCAGATATAGCTGCAGGGAACTGGTGTCCTTAGAAAGCTGTGAGTAGGTCTGGTTTTGGTGTTTGGTTCACTTGGAAAAGCAGAGTGCTGCTTAAGCATTGCAGGGTCTAGAATCAGAAAAGCAGGTTCAGATTTTGACTCAGCCACTTCTTAGCTGGGTACATGACTTAACCTCTCCGAACCTTAATTTCTTCATGATGTAACGTGGGGTTAATAATAGTACCTTTCTTTAAAATAGTACCTTTTTTTTTTATCCATTCATTCTACAAATATCTGTTGAATGTTCACCGTGAGCCAGGCACTGTGCTAGGCATTGTCATACGATTATGAGAAAAACTAAATGAAACTTAACAGCCTAATGCAGAACACAAACAATACCTGAATAATAATATTAACAAAATTAAGATGGTAACTGTGACAAGTGCTACCGCAAATGGCAATATGGTCTTATAAGAAACTATTTCCGAGGAACCTGATGTTCTAAAGTTTTCCTGGGAAGGTGATACTTGCATTGAGCACTGAAGAATGAGGATAGCTAACTAGATAAAAGGAGAAACAGGATGCACGAAAGTTCTGTAGTGAAAGATAAGAAAGAAGGCCAGTGAGGTGGGAAGAGAATAAAAGAAAACATGTCACAAAGTGAGGGTGGAGAGATAAACAAGGTCTAGGCCATGTTTAGTTTTTATTCTAAAATCAGCAGGAGGCCACTGAGGGTTTAAGCAGGAGGTTAATATTATCAGATTTGCTTTTAGAAGAGATCTCTAGCTAACAATAGATTTTGGGAGGGTGGTAAAATGAGTTTAGGCACAATGGCTAGGAGGCCACTACTACGGTTCAAATGAAATAATATGGTAGCCTAGAATGGATTAGGAATGGAGGAAGTTAGAAGTGGACAGATTAGGAGATAAAATTGACAGGATTTTGTAAGAGATTAGATGGGTTGGAGTGGGAGATAGTAAGAGAGGAATTTGTCCTGAATGATGCCTGGGTTTCTGATTTGAGTAATTGAATGGTTGATGGTGCAGTTTGCTAAAAGAGGGACTCCCAGAGGAGCAGCAGGTATGGGTCAATGAGCCTGAGTGACTTTGGACCTGTTGGCTTATGGTGCCTCTGAAACATTCAAGCTGAGTTGTATAACAGGCAGCTAGATTGTGGGTTTGAACTGGAAATACAAATTTGGGGAAAATTAGCACAGACAGTAATCAACACTATACATATGCATGAGATGCCCCAGGAATTAAGCATAGTGTAAAGAGGGGGCAGGGCTTGAGTCTCAACCTCCTAGAAATACAACATTTAATTGCTGGTTGAGAAGAATGAACCTGAAAAGGAGACAAGGGGGAGGGAGAGCTAAAACCAAGCCAAGAAACCCTGTGTCACAGAAGTGAAGGAATTCATGAAAGCAATTCGTGAAAGAGGGAGTGCTCAGTTGTGTGGAACAATGATAAAAGGTCAAGTGAAATGAGGACTGAGAGATGCTCAGTGCGTTTAACAACACAGAAATCACTGGTGACCTTAGCGAGAACTGTGGATGAGGAGTGGCAGGGTGGAAGCCAAGGCCGAGGATTCAGTGAGACTGAGAGGAAATAACCACAGTATAGAGCTATTCTCCACAACTGGGAAGGAGAAGAGAAAGACCAGGCAGTATCCTGAAAGTCTTGAGAGGCTTAAAGAACATGATGTGTATAATACACTTAGGATGGTGCTTTACCCAGAGAAAACTGGAGCTGAGTGTGTTTGCCTTAGAGAAAATGATATGAATTCTTTGAAAGACCCAGGTACCTGATGTAAGTGCTTCCATATGACATTAATGAGACATATTCTACAACCACAAAATGCACTAAGCTCTCTTGAAAGGGAGACCTGGAGGATGGCTGAAAAGGGAAGAGATTGAATCTTCTTTCTTCAGGAATCACTTGGTACTGGGGTAAAGAAGGACAGGCTGGCCAATAACTGTCATTAGGTTAGGAGTGAGGGGTCAGGGGGATGACTTCCCTAGGAAGGTCCAAACCTCCACGGAATCTCTGAGCATATTTCAGTTACATTTCATGAAGCATTCATCAACTACTTCAACTCACAGATCTCTCTCAACTCTTGCAGCTCTTAGAGCCCTGTGTAATTTAGCAATTGTTTATTTGAGACTCTAACTAATAAATGAAGCAGATAAAATGATATTCATTTGAAGGAATTTATTTTATTTTATTTTTTTTAGATGGAGTCTCATTCTTGTTGCCCAGGCTGGAGTGTAATGGCGCGATCTCAGTTTACTGCAACCTCTGCCTCCCGGATTCAAGAGGCCTCAGTCTCCCAAGTAGCTGGGATTACAGGCACCTGCCACCACACCTGGCTAATTTTTGTACTTTTAGTAGAGATGGGGTTTCACCATGTTGGCCAGGCTGGTCTCAAACTCCTGACCTCAGGTGATCTGCCCACCTCGGCCTCCCAAAGTGCTGAGATTACAGGCGTGAGCCACTGTGTCCAGCCATGCTTCATGAATTTATTTTATAAGTTCAATTTTTACAATATGTATTTATTATAAGATCAGTAAATGAGAAAAATGAGACTATTCTGATAATGCAGAAAAACAAAATAAGGCTGGGCATGGTGGCTCATGCCTGTAATCCCAGCACTTTGGGAGGCCGAGATGGGCAGATTGCTTGAGCCCAGGAGTTCGAGATAAGCCTGAACAACATGGCAAAACCCTGTCTCTACAAAAAAAATCCAAAAGAGCTGGGTATGGTAGTGCCCACCTCTAGTTCTAGCTACCTGGGAGGCTGAGGTGGGAGGATCACTGGAGCCTGGGAGGCGGAGATTGCAGCGAGTCAAGATTGTGCCACTGTACTCCATCCAGCCTGAGTGACAGAGTGAAACCCTGTCTCAAAAAAACAAAACAAAACAAGACAAAAAAAATCCAAAAAACAGGAGTTCTATTGACCTCAGAAACCAACTTCTTTATTTTGCTTTGATTGTAAAAGAATCCTCAAATCCTGATTCATTCAGATCAGTAGTTACAAATAGTAACAGTTTTTCCTTCTAATTTCAGTATATTCTTTAATTAATCAGCAATGGCAAAAGAACGTGTGTATAGTTTGGATGCTTATTCCCTTCCAATCTCACACTGAAATGTGATCCCCAGTGTTGGAGGTGGGGCCTAGTGGGAGGTGTCTGGGTCATGAAGGTGGATCCCTAATGAATGGCATGCCACAGTCCTTGTGGTAACTCCGTTCTCACTCTATGAGTTCACATGAGACCTGGTTGTTTTAAAGGGCCTGGCATCTCCTTTCTCTCTCTTGCTCCCTCTCTCACCATGTGATATGTGCGATTCTCTTCACCTTCTGCCATGATTGTAAGCTTCCTGAGGCCCTCACCAGAAGCAGATGCCAGCATTATGCTTTGTGTACAGACTGCAGAACTTTGAACCAAATAAATGTCTTTTTAAAATATATATATAAATTACCCAGTCTCTGGTATTCCTTTATAGCAATGTGAACAGACTAACAGACATTTATTCTAATGTCTGCAAAAAAATGAGCTAGCCACATTAGCATATTGCAAGCTTCCTTACGATGTATTAAAATTTGTGTGTGTGTGTGTGTGTGTGTGTGTGTGTGTGTTTTGAGACGGAGTCTCACTCTGTTTTCTAGGCTGTAGTGCAGTGGCGCAATCTTGGCTCACTGCAACCTCTGCCTCCTGGGTTCAAGCGATTCTCCTGCCTCAGCCTCCTGAGTAGTTGGGATTACAGGCATGCATCACCATGCCTGGCTAATTTTTTTGTACTTTAAATAGAGACAGGGTTTCACTATGTTGGCCAGGCTGATCTTGAACTCCTGATCTCAACTGATCTGCCTGCCTTGGCCTCCCAAAGTGCTGGGATTACAGGCATGAGCCACTGTGCCCAGCCTCTGACACATATTTGAGTATGCATGTAGTCTCTTTATAAAGAGATATATATGAGTGTGTTTGTACAAATATGTCTATATATACATTTGATTTAAACTATTTTACAATCATTGTATAAGCTGCTTTATTACCTTTTAAAATTTATTCCTCAAAATAATAACCCTATGAGGTAGTTATTATTATCCCCATTTAATGTAAAAGAAAATTGAGGCACAGAGAGATTAGGTAGACTTCTATTTCTGGAAATATGAAAGTCTAGTTACATTAAACAAATCTTCCATGGAAAACAACTAAAAATTCTGGATAAAATATTTTTAGTGATCAAGCAAGAAAGTAAGGAATTTAAAGAACGAAAGAAGCAACTCAAATAATTGAGCAAACCACTAAAGTTGGCTATCACCCTGAAGATGCCTTCTCAATCTTAGTAAATTTAAATTTGTGATTTTGTAGACTACCAAGACTCAAGAGAAACAGCCTAAATATTCCAAGGTCCTTGTAATGTTTGAAAGAGTTGAAAAAATTAACTAATGTGAGATTTCAATAATTTAAGCCTACAGAAATTTTCTAAAATAAGCACCAAAAAAATTAATGATAGAGAATATGTCTTCTAAATAAGTACCAGAAACAAATGGAGTGAGAAAAATTCAATTAATGCAAAAGAAGCCAAGAAAAGAGAGGGAGGAAACATAAAAAGAATGAGACAAATGGACTATACAAAATACTATGCAGAAATTAATCCACACGTTGTTTATTGCTATTACAACAAATGTAAATGAATTAAGTGCTATGGTAAAGAATTCTCAAACTAGATTAAAAAACAAAACCCAGTTATGTGCTGGCTTTTTTTTTTTTTTTCTTTTTGAGATGGAGTCTCATTCTTTCCCAGGCTGGAGTGTAGTGGCATGATTTCGGCTCACTGCAACCTCTGCCTTCCCAGCTCAAGCAATTCTCCTGCCTCTGCCTACTGAGTAGCTGGGATTACAGGTGCATGCCACCACGCTCGGCTAATTTTTGTATTTTTAGTAGAGACAGGGTTTCACCATGTTGGTCAGGCTGGTCTTGAACTCCTGACCTCAGGTGATCTGCCTGCCTCATCCTCCCAAAGTCCTAGGATTACAGGTGTGAGCCACTGCACCCAGCCTGTGTGCTGTTTTAAGACATGCATTCAAAACCTAAGATATGAGGCTGGGCACAGTGGCTCACGCTTGTGATTCCAGCATTTTGGGAGGCCCAAGCAGGAGGATAGCTTGAGCTAAGGAGTTTGAGACTAGCATGGGCAACATATTGAGACTCTGTCTCTATTAAAAGATATTTTTTAAACCATAAAATACAAGAAGAAATAAAAATAATATGCTAGGCAAATACTAACCAAAAACCTCTGTTACAACTGTATTAATAACAGTTAAACTGTAAGGTAAAAAATAAGCAAAATCATAGATAAAGGGAGTCTCTGCATAATGAAAAAAGTTTAATTCACTAGTCAAACAATAATAGCAAAGATTGGAAACTTACATGTTTCTAGTAACATAGCCCCCCAAAAATTACAAAATTGGCCAGATGAGGTAGCACTTTGGGAGGCCAAGGCAGGTGGATCACCTGAGGTCAGGAGTTCGAGACCCTGGCCAACATGGTGAAACCCCGTGTCTAATAAAATTACAAAAATTAGCTGAGAGTGGTGGCGCACGCCTGTAATCCCAGCTACTTGAGAGGCTGAGGCTGGAGAATTGCTTGAACCTGGGAGGTGGAGGTTGCAGTGAGCCAAGATTGCACCACTTCACTCCAGTCTGGGCAAAAGAGCAAAACTCTGTCTCAAAAAAAAAAAAAAAAATTACAAAATTACAGTGAAAAACTAGACAAATCCACTCTCATAGTGGCAGATTTTAATACTTTTTACAACAATTGATAAATTAAGCTGGCAAATTAAAGTCAGGAAAGTGTAGGATATTTGAAAAACACAAGTAATAGTCTTAGTCTAATGGTAAAATATAGAACATTGCACCCCAAAGTGGAGAATACAAACGTAATAAAGATGTATTGTGTAATGTATAACATATATACACATACATAAAATGTATGACAACAATAGCATAAAGGCCAGGAGTGGAGAAATAGAAGTATCATAATGTTCTTATACTCTATGTAAAGTGGTAAAATATCACTTTGAGGTAAACTGTGATAGTAAAAAATGTGTACTATAAACCCCTAAGTAAGTCCTAAAGTAACAAAACAAAGAGTTACAACTAATAAGCCAACAAGGAGATAAAATAGGGTCAGAACAAGATTTAATTAAGTCTAAAGAAGGCAGAAGAGAAGAAAAGGGAATACAGAAGAGTTGAGACAAGTAGAAAACAAATACTAGGATGATAGCTTAAACCTAACTATATCATAATCATATTAAATATAAATAAATAGTCCAACTAAAAGGCAGAGACTGTTAAATTAGTATAAACAAAAACCAAGACCTAACTATATGCTGCTTACAAGAAACACACTTGGACTATAAAGGCACATATAGGTTAAAAGCAAAAAGATGAAAAAAGATATACCATGCTCCCATTAGTCAAAAGAAGGCTGGAGCTGAAATCTATCAAGCAGATTTCAGAGCAAAGAATATTACCAGAGATAAAGAAGTTTATTTTATAATGATGAAAATGTTAATCAAGAGAACATAACAATCTATACAGTTATATACCTAATAATAGCTTCAAAACACATAAAGGAAAAACTGATAGAATTGCAAGAAGAAACAGACAGATTCATAATTATAGCTGAAAAATTTTAATACAGCAACCTCTTCTATATCCGTGCTTTTTAAGTACACAGAGACCATTTACCAAGATAGACCATATTTTGGGCCATAAATCAATCTCCATAAATTTAAAAGGATTCAAGTCATATAAAGTGTGTTCTCTGATCATAATGGAATTATTATTATGAAATGGAATATTATACATCAAGAGAAATATATCTAGAAAATCACCAAATATTTAAAAACTAAACAATACACTTCTAAATGATCCAGGAGTCAAAAACAGAAATAGAAAGCAATTTGAGAGGCTGAGGCAGGAGGATCACTTGAGTTCAAGAGTTTAAGACCAGCCTGGGCAACATAGTGAGACCTTGTTGCTATTTTAAAAAATTGGAAAAAAAGAGAAAAGAAATAGGAAAATTAGGGCTAGGTGCAGTGGCTCAACACCTGTAATTCCAACACTTTCGGAGGCTGAGACAGAAGGATCACTTGAGGCCAGGAGTTCAAGTCTAGACTGGGCAACAAAGTGAGATCTCGTCTCTATAAGAAAATACAAAAATTAGCCTGGCATGGTGGTGTGTGCCTATAGTCTCAGCTACTTCGGAGGCTGAAGTGGGAGGATCACTTGAGCCCTGGAGGTCAAGGCTGCAGGGAGTCAAGATCACGCCACTGCAGTCCAGCTTGGGTGACAGAGCAAGACCCTGTCTCACAAAGAAAGAAAAAAAGAAAAAAAAAAAGAAAGTGTTTTGAACTGGATGAAAATGACAATAAAACACATCAAAAGTTGTGTGATGTGGCTGGGCATGGTAGCTCATGCTTGTAATCCCAGCACTTTGGGAGGCTGAGGTGGGAGGATTATTTGAGGCTAGGAGTTCAAGACCAGCCTAGACAATATAGCAAAATCCTGTCTTTACAAAAAAAAAAAAAAAAAAAAAAAAAAAGCCAGGCAAAATGGCATGTACCCATAGTCCTAACTACTCAGGAGGCTGACATGGAAGGATTGCTTGAACCCAGGAGTTTGAGGCTGCAGTGAGCTATGATTGTGCCACTGTATTTTAGCCTGGTGACAGAGCAAGACTGTGCCTTAAAAAAAAAAAAAGAAAAAAGAAAAAAGAAAAAGAAAAAGAAAAGAAAGAAAGCAAAGAATAAAAAGTTTGTGGAATGCCACTAGAGCAGTTAAAAAATTTTTTTCTCCACACCATGATTCTGTAATAAAGCAGTTCTTAAAAGCAAATTTATAGCATTAAACACTTAGAAATGAACAAAAGTCTCAAAATGATGATCTCAAATTCCACCTACAAAAAGAGGAGCAAATTAAACCCAAAATAAATAGAAGAAAGGAAATAATAAAAGTCAGAGCAGAAATTAATGGAATAGGAAACAGAAAAACAAAGAAGAAAATTAATAAAACCAAATGATAGTTCTTTATCACAAAAATGATAAATCTCTAGACTGAGTAGGAAAAAAAGAGAGAAGACACAAATTGCTAACATCAGGAGTGAGAGATGTAACATCACTATAAATTCTACAAAATTACAAAGATAGTAAAGAAATACTCTGAATAATGTTATACCAATAAATTTAATAACTTAGGTGAAATGGATAATTTCCTTAAAAGACACAAGTACCAAAGCTCACATGAAAAGTAATAGATAACATGAATATTCCTATATCTATTAGAGAAATTGAATTTGCAGTTAAAAATCTTCCCACAAAGAAGACTCCAGGCCCAGATGGCTTCTCTGGTGAACTTTATCAAATATTTAATGATGAAGCAATACCAATTCTACCTAAACCCTTCCAGAAAATGGAAGAGGAGGCCAGTATTACCATAATACCAAAATCAAACATAGACATTATAAGAAAAGTACAGAACAATATCCTGCATGAATATGCATAAAAAATTCTAAATAAAGTTTTAGCAAGTTGAATTCAACAAGATATAAACAGGATAATACATCATGACTAAGTAGAGTTTATTCCAGGGATGCAAAGGTGGTTTAACTTTAAAATTCAATCAGTGTAATTCATCTTCTTAATAACCTAAAAATAAAAATTATAAGATCTTCTCAATAGATGCAGAAAAAACATTTGACAAAATCTGACACCATTTCTGATAAGATCTCAAGAGAACATAACAATTCCAGACATTTATTGTAAAGACAATGAAAAGATAAGCCATCGTTTGGGAGAAAATATTTTCAGATCATATATCTGATAAAGTACTTCTACATGCCATATAAAGAACTCTTGTAATTCAATAACAAGAAAACAAACAACTCATATTATTTAAACGGGCAAAATATTTTTAACACTTTACCAACTAAGATATAGAAATGACAAGTAAACACATGAAAACATATTCCCAGCAAACTAGGAATAGAAAACTGTAAAATGTTACTGAAAGAAATTAAAGAGTGGAAAGCTATACCTTGTTCATGGGTCAGGGGACTCATTGTTTAGATGTCAGTATCCCCCAGATTGATCTATGGATTCATTGTAATTCCACTGAAAACTCCAGCAGACTTTTTTGAAAGAAATGGACAAATTTCTAAAATTCATATGAAAATACAAAAGACATAGACTAGCCAAAACAACTTTGAAAAAAAGGAACAAATTTAGATGGCTGACACTACCTGATTTCAAAACTTAAAAAGCTACAATAATCAAGACAGTGAGGTGTTGGCATCAAGACAGAAAAATAGTCAGTTAACCAGAATTCAGAGTTAATAAATACATATATGAACAACTGGTTTTTGACAAAAGTGCAGAAAACAATTAAGTGGAGAAAGAATAGCCTTTTCAAGAAACAGTGCTGAAACAATTGGATGTCCATTTGTAAAATAAAGACATACAAATGTTCAATCCATACCTTATACTTTATATAAAGATTGATTCAAAGTTGATCATGGAGCTAATTTGTAAAACCTGAAACTGTAAAACTTGTAGAAGATGACATTGGAAAAAAATCTTTGTAATTTGTGCTAGGCAAAGATTTCTCAGATATAACATCAAAACACAATCCATAGAAGAAAAATGGATAAATTTACTGCATCAAAAGTAAACCTTCTGCTCTTTGAAAGACATTTTAAAGAGAACAAAAAGATAAGCCATTGTTTGGGAGAAAATGTTTTCAAATCATATCTGATAAAGTACTTCTATGTGCAATATAAAGAACTTCTGTAGGCCGGGTACGGTGGCTCATGCCTGTAATCCCAGCACTTTGGGAGGCCAAGGCGGGTGGATCACGAGGTCAGGAGTTCGAGACCAGCCTGGCCAACATAGCAAAACCCCGTCTCTACTAAAAATACAAAAATTAGCTGGGTGTGGTGGCACGCGTCTATAGTCCCAGCTACTTGGGAGGCTGAAGTGGGAGAATCACTTGAACCCAGGAGGCGGAGGTTGCAGTGAGCCGAGACCATGCCATTACACTCCAGCCTGGGTAACAGAGACTTTGTCTAAAAAAAAAAAAAAAAAAAAAAAAAGAACCCCTGTAACTGAATAATAAGAAAACAAACAACTCATGTTTTTTAAATGGGCAAAAGACTTTTAACACTTTACTAAAGAGAATATAGAAATGGCAAGTAAACACATGAAAAGATACTTAACATCATTAGTCATTAGGGAAGCACAAATTGAAACCACAATGAGATACCACTATATTGCTCCTAAAATTATTAAAATTATAAAGATTGACCATACCAAGTACTGACAACGACATGCATGAACTGAAACCTCATACACTATTGGTGGGATTGTAAAGTGGCTGATATGGTTTGGCTGTGTCCCCACCCAAGTCTCATCTTGAATTGTAACTCCCACAATTTCCACATGTCATGGGAGGAACATGGTAGGAGATGATTGAATTATTGGGGGTGAGTCTTTCCTGCATGATAGTATATGAGTTCTCATGAGATCTGATGGTTTTATAAAGAGGAGTTACCCTGCACAAGTTCTCTCTCTTTGCTGCCATGTAAGATGTACTTGCTCCTCCTTGCCTTCTGCCATGATTGTGAGGCTTCCCCAGCCATGTGGAACTGTAAGTCCATTAAACCTCTTTCTTTTGTAAACTGCCCAGTCTCGGGTATGTCTTTATCAGCAGCATGAAAACGGACTAATACAGTGGCACAAACACTTTAGAAAACAGTTTGTCCATTTCTCAAAAGTTAAATATAAACTTGCCACATAATCTAGCCATTACATTCTTAAGTATTTACCCATGGGAAAAGAAAGCATAAGTCTGTACAAAGATTTGTACATGTTCAAAGCAGCTCTGTTTCTCATAGCCAAAAACTAGAAACAACCCAAATATTCATCAATTGATAGATGGGTGAATAAAATACGATATATCCATAGAATGGAATACTACTCAGCAACAAAGTAGAATGAGGTATTGATACACATAACATGGATGAATTTCAGAATAATTACACAGAGCTCAAGAGCCAGACCAGAAAAGTGTACATACAGTATTACTCCATTTTTATAAAATTCTAGAGAATACAACTCATCTATAGTGACACAAAGAAGATCAGTTGTTGGCCAGGTGCAGTGGCTCACACCTGTAATCCCAGCCCTTTGGGAGCACAAGGCAGGTGGATCACCTAAGGTCAGGAGTTCAAGACCAGCCTGACCAACATGGAGAAACCCCATCTCTACTAAAAATACAAAAATTAGCCAGGCGTGGTGGCACATGCCTGTAATCACAGCTACTTGGGAGGCTGAAGCTGAGGTAGGAGAATCACTTGAACCCAGGAGGCAGAAGTTGCAGTGAGCCAAGATCACACCATTGCACTCCAGCCTAGGCAATAGAGTGAGACTCTGTCTCAAAAAAAAAAAAAAAAAAAAAAAAAAAAAAAAAAAAAAAGAAGAAGAAGAAGATCAGTTGTTTGGGCAGGGAGAGGAGGAGTAAAGCAAGGAACAGGGGAACAGGAAGGAGACTTTACAAAGGAGCATGAGGAAATTTTGGGGAATGATGAGTGTGTTTGTTATTATGGTGATAGTTTCATGGGTATATAGATACATAAGTCAAAACTTAGCACATCGCACACCTTAAATATATGACACTTATTGTATGTCAATGATACCTCAATAAAGCTGTTTTTTAAAAAAGAAGTTAGAAAAAGAAGACCTGAATAAAAATACAGGCCAGGCACAGTGGCTCACACCTGTAATCCTAGAACTTTGGGAAGCCAAGGTGGGCAGATCACTTGAGGTAAGGAGTTCGAGACCAGCCTGGCCAACATGGTGAAACTCCGTCTCTACAAAAAACAAAACAAAACAAAAGAAAAATTAGCCGGGTGTGGTGGTGCACACCTGTAATCCCAGCTACTTGGGAGGCTGAGGAGGAGAATTGCTTGAAACTGGGGAGGCGGAGGTTGCAGTGAGCTGAGATTGTGCTACCACACTCCAGCCTGGAGAACAGAGTGAGATTCTGTCTCAAAAAACAAAAACAAAAACAAAACAAACAAAAAAACTGAATAAAAATACAAAGAAAGAAGGAAATAAGAAAGATCAAGACAGCAGAAGTTAATGAAACAAATTAAGTAGATTGTCCAAAGTCACACAGTTAGAGAATGGCAGAACTGGCCCAAATTCAGATTTTTCTGACTCCGAAGCCTATGTTCTTTACAGAAGTTAAACATCTTCACTGTTTTCCAAATTTCAGTTGCAAAGTATTATTACCTTCATGATTTTTGTCCTCTGAAGTACTACCTACTATTGTTTACTTCATATTTTTCTTTAAATTAGCTCACTTTTAAAACTTAACCTCATCTTAGGCAATAACAGCTATGAAATCAAGGTTTTGATAAGCAGTTAGAATGTTCCTAACACACATTAGGAAATGTAAATATCAGTTCAAAGGAGAACTGCCAGGTCTGTCCCGCAGACCCTGGCCGATGGATGAAATGAGTACTCAGACACAGGTATGCAGTGTAAGAGCAGCTAGGTGACTGCCTGGCTCTAGTGGCCAGAGAGCAGCCCTGAGAAGCTGGAGCCGCTTCCTTTTATTCATTATAGGCACAATGCCAAAAACCTGGAGCCAACACAACCTGTAGGTAATTAACATTTATTGTTCCCCTTTCAGGGAATGTGGGTCAGTTCCTGGTCAACATAAGTAAACAAGCCTGTTTAAGATAAATTCCACCACACTCCCTTGTACCTACTCCTTGCCCTCTGCCTCAGGGTTATAGAACAGCTGCCTTCAGCTGTTCTCCCCCGGGGCTCTGCAGAACCATCCGACCCTTCAGAAGGCTGGCATCCTTTCCCTATAGTTTTTCCCACCATTCTGATCGATCCCCCACAGAAAACAAATTCACCTATTGTGAGGTTTAATTGTATGTGTCAATCTGGTTAGGTTATAGTTACTCAATCAAACACTAATTGAGGTATTGCCATGAAGGTAGTTTATAGATGTGGTTAGCAGTTGTCTGTGACTGTAAGTCTACAGCTGCCTTTCAGTGAAGGAGATTATTCTTGATAATGTTGGTGAGCCTCATCCAATCAACTGGAAGGCCTTCAAAGCAAAACTGAGGTTTCCCTGAGAAAGAAAAAATTCTGCCTCAAGACTGCAGTGTCAGCTCCTGCCTGAGAGTTTCCAGCCTGCAGGCCTGTCCTGGAGATTTCAGACTTGCAGCCTTCACAACCACGTGAACCAATTGCTTGAAATAAATCTCTTTCCATTCTCATTACTACTTGTGCTCTGCCTAGAAGGGGCTGAAAGAACCAGGGGAGGCCAGCCTGGCTGAGGACACCTTTCGTGTCCCTGCACCACCCTGGAGTCCTGCATGCCTCACCTGGCTCCACTCTCGTCTGGAGCTGTGCCTGGCTGGAGCAGAAGATGCCAGTACCCTTCCTTCTTCCCCAATCTTTTTTTTTTTTTTTTTTTGAGACAGAGTCTTGCCCTGTTGCCCAGGCTGGAGTGCAGTGGTGCGATCTTGGCTCACTGCAACCTCCTCCTCCCAAGTTCAAGCGATTCTCGCCTCCCGAGTTCAAGTGATTCTCCTGCCTCAGTCTCCTGAGTAGCTGGGATTACAGGCGCCTGCCACCACGCCTGGCTAATTTTTGTATTTTTAGTAGAGACGGGATTTCGCCATGCTGGCCAGGGTGCTCTCAAACTCCTGACCTCAGGTGATCTGCCTGCCTCGGCCTCCCAAAGGCTGGGATTACAGGCGTGAGCCGCAGTGCCCAGCTCCTTCTTACCCAATCCGACCTGGCTTCTAAGCCTTCCTGCTCACTCTTCAGCCTCCCATCCTCTCCCTTCCAGACTCCCAAGGCCTTCTTTACCGCAGTTCTGACCCCGCTTCTGGGTGTTCCTCCCTCCAACTGTGCTGTTCTCCCTCCTGGGTTGGTGGCTGAATGGTGTTCCTCTTTCTCTGGAGAGAGATGAGACTCCTTTCAGTGGACCCCCTGGCTGCCCCCAGCCCCACGAAGCAAACAAAGTGAAATAACTTGCCTAAGGTTATTTAGGTATTAAGGGACAAAGTCAGGATTTGAACCCAGGTCTTTAGATTCCAAATCCAATGATTTCTGTAGGAGTCTGATGGTTATATCGCTCAGCTCTCTTCACCAGATTGAGCCAAGGAAAGAGTGAGGGCCTGGCTTCTTGTCCTGTTCTTGCTGCCAGCAGCTGTGTGCCACTAGATGGTCTCATCCCCTCTCTGGGTGTTGGTTTTCTCACATATAAAGTGAAGGAGGTAGGTAGGTCATATTTAAGATCCTTTGCTGGGCGCAGTGCCTCATGCCTGTAATCCCAGCACTTTGGGAGGCCAAGGCAGGTGTATCACCTGAGGTCAGGAGTTTGAGACCAGCCTGACTAACACAGTGAAACCCCGTCTCTACTAAATACAAAAAAATTTGCCGGGCCTGGTGGTGCATGCCTGTAATCCCAGCTATATAGGAGGCTGAGGCAGGAGAATCACTTGAACCTGGGAGGGGGAGGTTGCAGTGAGCTGAGATTGTGCCATTCACCCCAGCCTGGGCAACAAGAGCAAAACTCCATCTCAAAACAAAACAAAACAAAAACCCATAAAATAAAATAAAATAAAGATCCTTTTCAATTCTCTGACTTTTAAATTTCCATTTCCTTTTCCCAATGAGGTATAAATGCATTTTGTTTCCATCTTATAAAAGAGGGGTCACTGGAGCTGGGGGTGGGGGTTATGCAGCAAATTTCCTTCCAAGCTGGAGCTGGAAACCACTGTCCAGGAGCCTGGTGTGTTGTCCATCAGTTGGGGGCTGGACGTATGCAATAGGACTTCCTAGTAGGGCCACCTTGGCTCTCGGCGGCAGGATTCTAGGAGCAACAGCTGTGCCCCTGCAGGAGCCATGGAGGGAAGTCACTCAGTTCATGGAGTCAGGCCACATGGGAGGAGAAGGCAGCCTAGAACTAGCCATGGTGAAGGCTTCCCAGGCAGTTCACGCTTTTGAAAATGGCCCTGAGAGAGATGCTATCAGGAGGCGTATTTAATGGGTTTTGGAAATTGGCTAATTTTGCCACAACGGTCTGAGTGTTATCCGATGCATGCTAAGCATCTGGGGCCAGCGTGCCCAAGGCCTTCAAAGAGATTTGACAGCCGGGAAGGCTGGGCAAAGTAGCTAGTGGTTTCCAGCACTCAAGGGACCCCAGGCGACCTCAGAAAACCAGGTCAGGTGCTGGGTCGATGCCCTCTCCTGCTCCACAAGGCGTCACCCCACTTGCCTCCTCCATCCCTCTCCCTCCCTCACACTGGTCCTTGCTCCCAGGCCTCCTTTCCCACAGCCCTTGCCTCCCCATTCCCCTAGCCAGCCCTGGGCTGAGCTCCTTCTCCCCTAGCAGGCGCCCTCTCCCATGCTTTGGGTCAATAAGCCATCAATATCCTGCACTGAGGAGAAACAGCAGCTCCTTGCACGCCTGATTCACCAAGAGCCACTCTCCCGCCCTGCTTCTCTGGGCCTCCCGCACCCTCCTTCCATCCTCTGCGGCCACATTTCCTCCTCCAGAGATGCTGCCATCCATCAGCTCTCTGCCTCACTGGTCACATTTACTTTCTCTGGCTGTCTTCAGCTTGGTTGTTTATATTCTTCCTCTCCCTGCTTCCTATTCCCTTTTTATCCACTTGTTCCTGGACGCAGGATTTCTGTAGGTGCTTCTCAGGATTATCCTATAGAAGGGGGGCAGCAAAGAGGCCCAAAGCCATACGCTCCATTTCCCCTCCCAGGGGACTCTTGCCTCTCTCCAAAGCTTATTAGGATCATTGAAAAGGGGTCTGCTGTTTCCCACAGAGGCAGGTGATGCAATTTAAAGGGCTCGAGATTTGGAATCAGAAGCCTTCAGTTTTGGAGCTGCAGTGGTGCGGTCACAACTCACTGCAGCCTCAATCTTGTGAGCTCAAGTGATTCTCCCACCCCAGCCTCCTGAGTAGCTGGGACTACAGCCAAGTGCCACCATGCCTAGCTAATTTTTTTTTATTTTTTGTAGAGATGAGGTCTCACTATGTTGCCTAGGTTGCTCTCGAACTCCTGGGCTCAAGTGATCCTCCCGCCTCGACCTCCCAAAGTGCTGGGATTACGGGAGAGCCACTGCGCCCAGCTTGGAACAATTTCTGAGAGAAACTTGGGTAGGTCTATTAACCCCTTTAAACCTCAGTTTTTTCATTTATAAAATGGAGCTGTGAGGACTGAGTGAGAAAATAATAACTCATTTACTGAGTGTAGTCTGTATGTCAGGCTCTATGCTAGGCCCTTTCAAATATGATTGCCCCTAAGCAAGTTTGTGAATGTGCTTTGCAGGTTAGAAAGTGCTGTGCAGGCTGGGTGCGGAGGCTCACACCTATAATCCCAGCACTTTGGCGGGTAACCTCAGCACTTTGGGAAGCTGAGGTGGGTGGATCACCTGAGCTCAGGAGTTCAAAACCAGCCTGGCCAACATGGTGAAGACCCTGTGTCTACTAAAAAAAAATACAAAAATTAGCTGGGCGTGGTGGCAGGTGCCTGTAATCCCAGCTACTCGGGAGGCTGAGGCAGAAGAATCGCTTGAACCCAGGAGGCGGAGGTTGCAGTGAGCCAAGATCGCACCATTGCACTCCAGCCCAGGTGACAGAGCAAGACTCCATCTCAAAAAAAAAAAAAAAAAAGTGCTGTGCAAATACTAGTTATTACAGACAAGTCCAGAGAGCTATTATAGCATCACCCAGAAAATTTTTTTTGTACCTAGAAAATAATTAAATGGGCACTTTTGAACAGGTTTGTCAGCAAACATTTTATACACACCTTGACATGACTGCTGTGAAGGAGTCAGGCAGATGTGATTAACCCCATTCTGTGGGTAAGGAGACCAAGCCCTGGGTCTGGGGAGCTCTGTCTGCTGTCTCCACTTTTCCCTGCACCCTCTGGAACTCCCTGCTGTCCACCGTCTGCAGTGGACAGGGAAGTGTGCCTGTTTCGTGTGATGGTGTCGGGGCTGTGGGCAATGTGTGTGAGAGCCTGTGGCAGGACCCGCACAGCATCTTGGAGGTTGGGATGAGACGCTGAGTGGAGAAGTTATCTAGAGCAGACAGCTTGGAGCTCTGAGAGCAGCAGCATGCACCCAGCAGGCCAAGGGGAGCAAGCAGCACTGTCTCTGTCTCTGGAGGGGAGAGGGCACGGTAGGGAAAGTCCCTGGGTCATTGTGTTGGCAAGCTGGCTGTGCCTCAAAAACCAGCAGGAGACAGGGATGCATAAAAACAGGTGGCTGGGTGTGGTGGCTCACACCTGTAATCCCAGCACTTTGGGAGGCTGAGGCGGGCAGATCGCTTGAGCCCAGGACTTTGAGCAACATGGCGAAACCCTGTCTCTATAAAAAATACAAGATTAGCTGAGCATGGTGGTGCAAGCCTACAGTCCCAGCTACTCAGGAGTCTGAGGTGGGAGGATCCCTTGAGAGTGGGAGGCGGAGGTTGCAGTGAGTCCAGATTGTGCCACTGCACTCCAGCCTGGGCGACAGTGTGAGATCGTGTCTCAAAACAAAACAGAACAGTTCTCGGGAATCATGTGACTGAAATTGTGAGGACTTGTTCTTACTTGCTGCTAAGCTCAGGCCAAACAGATCACTTTTCAAACCATGCTTGGTACCCTGCATCTTCAGGACACAGGGCCAGACTCTGGTCCAGGAGCCTGTGGGGGGACATGCAGCCCCTTCAGGGCTGTAACGTCCAGGCCTTGGCTACCTCTACATTAGTTGGCCAAAGCCCCCCACTACCGCCACCAGCCACCAGAGGCCACTGCTAATTCCAACCCAGGCTGAGTCATGGCACCAGCCTGTGCGTGTGGTCCAGGGCTGTTGCTGACTCCTTCAGAGAGGCCCCAATAACTCACTGCCCAGATGGATTTCTTTAAAAATTGCAGCCAGCCAAATCTACTGTCCCCAGGAAGTAGCCCCTTCTGCCAGCGAGGCTTCTGCTCTCCTCCCAGATGCTTCTAGGATTCCCCTTCCCTCCTTCCATGGCTCTCCGTCCATTCAAAATTTCCCCTGGACCTCCAGGGACCCCCAGCTCTTCCTCCCTCTCATCTCTGTGGCCTGATGGCCTGGCTCTCTCCTACAGACATGGCTTCCCTTTGTGCCTTCTCAGGTGGAAGCTGCCCTTTCCTCTCAGGCTTTAAGCTCAGGAAGCAGATGGCAGACTCCGGATCAGCAAGCCATTAAGCCCTGCCCTG